>NC_000013.11:77195984-77347499 GCF_000001405.40 Homo sapiens
TGGGCATAAAGGGGCAAACAATACAATCAAAGAATTGGGGGCTATTGGGAGTAAGTCTATGGTTGGGAATTGAATTTACAGTTTTAAGTAGGCTTACCAGGGAATGAAGCTCTGAAGGTGATGGGGAAGTGGGCTATGTAGGTGCTGAAGTGAAGAGAGCTGTAGTTATGAGGAAACAGCAAGTGAAGAGGTACTGAGATTTGACTGTGCCTGGAATGTCTGAGGAACAATAAGCAGGCCAGTGTCACTGGATTAGAGTGAAACAACTAGTAGAACAAAAGGTCAGAGAGGTGATGACAGCCAGTTCTGATGGGGACTTTGTAGGTCCTTCTAAGGCTTTTGGTTCTCATTCTCACATAGGAAGACACTACAGGATTCTGAAGAGACAATGATGCAATCTGTTGTACATTTTAAGAGAATCACTGCCACACTCAGAACAGAACAAA
Organism: Homo sapiens; assembly: GCF_000001405.40. NCBI lineage: Eukaryota > Metazoa > Chordata > Mammalia > Primates > Hominidae > Homo > Homo sapiens. The sequence goes on from NC_000013.11 coordinate 77,196,431, forward strand.
TGGGGTGAGGACAGACGTAGAACACAAGTTGGGAGGCTACTGTAATAATACAAATGAGAATGGCTGTGGCATGACCCAACCTGATAGCAGTGGCAGTTTTCAGAAGTGGTTAGATACGGGATTTATTTTGAAAGTGGAAACGATAATATTTGCTCCCGAAGTGGATGTGTGTAAAAGAAAGAGTAGAATCAAGGATGACTCCAAGATTTTTGGCCTGAGGAAACAGAAGAATGAAGTTAACTCCATGCTGAGTCAGTTAACTGGGATGGGGAAGAACATGAGGATAGCAGGTTTAGGCAGATCATCAGAAGCATAGTATTGAATATGTTACCTCCAAAATGCCTATCAGAGAGTCACGTGGAGACACAGCGTAGGCTGTTGTACATATTGGTTTAAAGGTCAGAGAAGAGGTTTATAAATTTAAAAGTCATCAGAGATAAATGTCCATGAGGCTGGACCACTATGAGGAAGAGAATACTTTTAAAAGATGTCAAAAACTGAGTTCTTGGCACTCCAACATTTAGAAGTCAGGAAGATGATGAGCAACCAGCAGGAGACTAAGAAGAACAGTCAGTGGGACAAAAGAAAAATGAAGTGTAGTGTCGTGGGGGACAAGAGAAGAAAGTATTTCAAAGAAGAGCTCAATTGGGTTAAATTCAGCTGACTGGTTAAGGAAGATGAGAGCTGAGGCTTGACTATTGAATTTAGCAATATGAAAGTCATCAGTGTCCTTGACAAGAGCAATGTCAGTGGTGGGGGCAAAAATCTGACTGGAGTAGGCTCAAGTAGGAATGGTAAGAGAGAGAATGGAGACAGAAAGTATAGAAAGAATATGTACAGAGACTATCTAGGTGGCTAGTCCAAGACAAATACCTTTGCCTAGGGTAGTGGTAGAAAAGTCTTTTTTGTGGAGAAGAAAGAGATATAGGAGGCCTATCAAGAAAAATGTCTAGATTTCCGGCCTATGTATCAAGCATATGGTGGATGGTACTAATCATGAGAGAGAGAGATCAGTGGAAGAGCATGAATTCAGTTGAGATATTATGACTGATAACTGATGTGCCTTTAACATATTTACATGAAAATGCATCAAAGAAGTCTGAGTTGGAGATACAAATTTGGGGATTATGGTATGCTGATGGCTATTAAAACTCTGGGCTCAAAAGAGAATGCATATACGAATATGTGAAGAAAGAGGGCCTAGGGCTGGGTCTTTGAGGAACTCCTACATTCAGTGGCCAGGTGGAAGGGGATGAACCTACAAAGAGATAGAAGAAAAAACTACAGGTATGAAAACAAAACAAAACAAAAAAATACAGAAGGGCTTAACAAATGCATACATTACAGAGAGGTGAAGGGAAGGAAAAAAAAAGACTGACTACTGTTGAAAGGCCTTAGCCCACTCACTGGATAATTGAATACAAAAGGCAAGATCATTTCCAGACAATAGGAGGAGTGAGGTAAAATTTGAGTTTGAAAAAGAAAAATAGGGCCAATATAAAAACAACATATATGGAAGGCCTCCATAATTCTATATACTACAGTGTTTGAAGATAAGGTCCACTACGTTGTTCACTATTCCGAAAAGAAAAAATCTCTTAGAGCTAGAAAAAAAAATATCCTCCTGATGAGCTTATTAGACATTGTCAAATAGAACTACATAACACATTGAGGTTGCTTCTCTAACGTGAGGATGAATCAAGACATCCTAAAATAACCATTTTAAAGCAGTTGCACTGAAATGAGCCAAACTACTATTTTTCTTATTATCAAAATATATGTGCTACAAGAGTCCTAATCATTATTCTATCACTATACTCCATATAACTATAGGAGCTTTAAATTTTTACTTTATTCATTCTTACATTATCTGCTTTTTTAGCATGTATTCCAACTATAACCAGAAATAAGCAAATATTTCTTTAAGTTTGTCAGTTCTGGTTGGGCCTCCATGGGGAATGTCCTTGGAAACCAGCATTATGAAGAAGAGTGTTAACATATTGATATCATTTTTAGATATTATTGAGAGAACTAAGAAAATACCTCCTGAACAGATGACATTTAATCGAGATTTTTTTGTGAAGCCTGCTATTGAAATTCAGGCAGAAACTATAGTTTTCTCTTTCACTTTTAGAGCAAAATCAGGTAATTTGAGAAGCAGAACATTCAAGCTATTAGTGAATATTCAAAGAATGAACATATACTTTGTTTAGGATAATTTGTTGGCCCTTTTGGATACGAATAGGTGTGGTAACATATGACTCTCAATGATTTTTAGTTGGCCTACCAGATGGAATCCTCCCCTAACACTATCTCTCACTCCTCCCGGTCTCCACTCCTGGGGTGAAGATGTCTGTTTACATACTACATCAAAATGTCCCTAAACAGTTGTGCCTCCTCTGTCATTAAAATGGCTATAAGAAAGTAGCCACATAAAAAGGCACTGGTATTGCTAGGCCACCAGAAGTTCCACAGAAAGGACTGAGATATAGTCTTTCTTCAGTGGTAAATTGTTGAAAATAATTTTCCTTTCATTTCTTCCCTTCTTACAGAATTTTGATTTTTTTAATGAGTTATTAATTTAGTATTACTGTAGGGGGGGAGGAGGCAAGATGGCTGAATAGGAACAGCTCCGGTCTACAGCTCCCAGCGTGAGCAACACAGAAGACGGGTGATTTCTGCATTTCCATCTGAGGTACCGGGTTCATCTCACTAGGGAGTGCCAGACAGTGGGAGCAGGACAGTGGGTGTGCGCACCATGCGCGAGCTGAAGCAGGGCGAGGCATTGCCTCACTCGGGAAGCGCAAGGGGTCAGGGAGTTCCCTTTCCTAGTCAAAGAAAGGGGTGACAGACGGCACCTGGAAAATCGGGTCACTCCCACCTGAATACTGCACTTTTCTGACGGGCTTAAAAAACGGCACACCAGGAGATTATATCCTGCACCTGACTCGGAGGGTCCTACGCTCATGGAGTCTCGCTGATTGCTAGCACAGCAGTCTGAGATCAAACTGCAAGGCGGCAGCGAGGCTGGGGGAGGGGCGCCCGCCATTGCCCAGGCTTGCTTAGGTAAACAAAGCAGCCAAGAAGCTCCAACTGGGTGGAGCCCACCACAGCTCAAGGAGGCCTGCCTGCCTCTGTAGGCTCCACCTCTGGGGGCAGGGCACAGACAAACAAAAAGACAGCAGTAACCTCTGCAGACTTAAATGTCCCTGTCTGACAGCTTTGAAGAGAGCAGTGGTTCTCCCAGCACACAGCTGGAGATCTGAGAAAGGGCAGACTGCCTCCTCAAGTGGGTCCCTGACCCCTGACCCTCCAGCAGCCTAACTGGGAGGCACCCCACAGCAGGGGCAGACTGACACCTCACACTGCCTGGTACTCCAACAGACCTGCAGCTGAGGGTCCTGTCTGTTAAAAGGAAAACTAACAAACAGAAAGGACATCCACACCAAAAACCCATCTGTACATCACCATCATCAAAGACCAAAAGTCGATAAAACCACAAAGATGGGGAAAAAACAGAGCAGAAAAACTGGAAACTCTAAAAAGCAGAGCAACTCTCCTCCTCCAAAGAAACACAGTTCCTCACCAGCAACGGAACAAAGCTGGATGGAGAATGACTTTGACGAGCTGAGAGAAGAAGGCTTCAGATGATCAAATTACTCTGAGCTACGGGAGGACATTCAAACCAAAGGCAAAGAAGTTGAAAACTTTGAAAAAAATTTAGAAGAATGTATAACTAGAATAACCAATACAGAGAAGTGCTTAAAGGAGCTGATGGAGATGAAAACCAAGGCTCGAGAACTACGTGAAGAATGCAGAAGCCTCAGGAGCCGATGAGATCAACTGGAAGAAAGGGTATCAGCGATGGAAGATGAAATAAATGAAGTGAAGCGAGAAGGGAAGTTTAGAGAAAAAAGAATAAAAAGAAACGAACAAAGCCTCCAAGAAATATGGGACTATGTGAAAAGACCAAATCTACGTCTGATTGGTGTACCTGAAAGTGATGGGGAGAATGGAACCAAGTTGGAAAACACTCTGCAGGATATTATCCAGGAGAACTTCCCCAATCTAGCAAGGCAGGCCAACATTCAGATTCAGGAAATACAGAGAACGCCACAAAGATACTCCTTGAGAAGAGCAACTCCAAGGCACATAATTGTCAGATTTACCAAAGTTGAAATGAAGGAAAAAATGTTAAGGGCAGCCAGAGAGAAAGGTCGGGTTACCCTCAAAGGGAAGCCCATCAGACTAACAGCGGATCTCTCAGCAGAAACTCTACAAGCCAGAAGAGAGTGGGGGCCAATATTCAACATTCTTTAAGAAAAGAATTTCCAACCCAGAATTTCATATCCAGCCAAACTAAGCTTCATAAGTGAAGGAGAAATAAAATACTTTACAGACAAGCAAATGCTGAGAGATTTTGTCACCACCAGGCCTGACCTAAAAGAGCTCCTGAAGGAAGTGCTAAACATGGAAAGGAACAACCGGTACCAGCCACTGCAAAATCATGCCAAAATGTAAAGACCATCGAGACTAGGAAGAAACTGCATCAATTAACGAGCAAAATAACCAGCTAACATCATAATGACAGGACCAAATTCACACATAACAATATTAACTTTAAATGTAAATGGACTAAATGCTCCAATTAAAAGACACAGACTGGCACATTGGGTAAAGAGTCAAGACCCATCAGTGTGCTGTGTTCAGGAAACCCATCTCACGTGCAGAGACGCATATAGGCTCAAAATAAAAGGATGGAGGAAGATCTACCAAGCAAATGGAAAACAAAAAAAGGCAGGGGTTGCAATCCTAGTCTCTGATAAAACAGACTTTAAACCAACAAAGATCAAAAGAGACAAAGAAGGCCATTACATAATGGTAAAGGGATCAATTCAACAAGAAGAGCTAACTATCCTAAATATATATGCACCCAATACAGGAGCACCCAGATTCATAAAGCAAGTCCTGAGTGACCTACAAAGAGACTTAGACTCCCACACATTAATAAAGGGAGACTTTAACACCCCACTGTCAACATCAGACAGATCAACAAGACAGAAAGTCAACAAGGATATCCAGGAATTGAACTCAGCTCTGCACCAAGCGGACCTAATAGACATCTACAGAACTCTCCACCCCAAATCAACAGAATATACATTTTTTTCAGCACCACACCACACCTATTCCAAAATTGACCACATACTTGGAAGTAAAGCTCTCCTCAGCAAATGTAAAAGAACAGAAATTATAACAAACTGTCTCTCAGACCACAGTGCAATCAAACTAGAACTCAGGATTAAGAATCTCACTCAAAACCACTCAACTACATGGAAACTGAACAACCTGCTCCTGAATGACTACTGGGTACACAATGAAATGAAGGCAGAAATAAAGATGTTCTTTGAAACCAACGAGAACAAAGACGCAACATACCAGAATCTCTGGGACACATTCAAAGCAGTGTGTAGAGGGAAATTTATAGCACTAAATGCCCACAAGAGGAAGCAGGAAAGATCCAAAATTGACACCCTAACATCATAATTAAAGGAACTAGAAAAGCAAGAGCAAACACATTCAAAAGCTAGCAGAAGGCAAGAAATAACTAAAATCAGAGAACTGAAGGAAATAGAGACACAAAAAACCCTTCAAAAAATTAATGAATCCAGGAGCTGGTTTTTTGAAAGGATCAACAAAATTGATAGACCGCTAACAAGACTAATAAAGAAAAAAAGAGAGAAGAATCAAATAGACGCAATAAAAAATGATAAAGGGGATATCATCACCGATCCCACAGAAATACAAACTACCATCAGAGAATACTACAAAATCCTCTACGCAAATAAACTAGAAAATCTAGAAGAAATGGATAAGGGATTCCTGGACACATACACTCTCCCAAGACTAAACCAGGAAGAAGTTGAATCTCTGAATAGACCAATAACAGGATCTGAAATTGTGGCAATAATCAACAGCTTACCAACCAAAAAGAGTCCAGGACCAGATGGATTCACAGCCGAATTCTACCAGAGATACAAGGAGGAACTGGTACCATTCCTTCTGAAACTATTCCAATCAATAGAAAAAGAGGGAATCCTCCCTAACTCATTTTATGAGGCCAGCATCATCCTGATACCAAAGCCGGGCAGAGACACAACCAAAAAAGAGAATTTTAGACCAATATCCTTGATGAACATTGATGCAAAAATCCTCAATAAAATACTGGCAAAACGAATCCAGCAGCACATCAAAAAGCTTATCCACCATGATCAAGTGGGCTTCATCCCTGGGATGCAAGGATGGTTCAATATATGCAAATCAATAAATGTAATCCAGCATATAAACAGAACCAAAGACAAAAACCACAGGATTATCTCAACAGATGCAGAAAAGGCCTTTGACAAAATTCAACAACCCTTCATGCTAAAAACTCTCAATAAATTAGGTATTCATGGGACATATTTCAAAATAATAAGAGCTATCTATGACAAACCCACAGCCAGTATCATACTGAATGGGCAAAAACTGGAAGCATTCCCTTTGAAAACTGGCACAAGACAGGGATGCCCTCTCTCACCACTCCTATTCAACATAGTGTTGGAAGTTCTGGCCAGGGCAATTAGGCAGGAGAAGGAAATAAAGGGTATTCAATTAGGAAAAGAGGAAGTCAAATTGTCCCTGTTTGCAGACGACATGATTGTATATCTAGAAAACCCCATCATCTCAGCCCAAAACCTCCTTAAGCTGATAAACAACTTCAGCAAAGTCTCAGGATACAAAATCAATGTACAAAAATCATAAGCATTCTTATACACCAACAACAGACAAACAGAGAGCCAAATCATGAGTGAACTCCCATTCACAATTGCTTCAAAGAAAATAAAATACCTAGGAATCCAACTTACAAGGGATGGGAAGGACCTCTTCAAGGAGAACTACAAACCACTGCTCAAGGAAATAAAAGAGGATACAAACAAATGGAAGAACATCCCATGCTCATGGGTAGGAAGAATCAATATCGTGAAAATGGCCATACTGCCCAAGGTAATTTACAGATTCAATGCCATCCCCATCAAGCTACCAATGACTTTCTTCACAGAATTGGAAAAAACTACTTTAAAGTTCATATGGAACCAAAAAAGAGCCCGCAAGACCAAGTCAATCCTAAGCCAAAAGAACAAAGCTGGAGGCATCACACTACCTGACTTCAAACTATACTACAAGGCTACAGTAACCAAAACAGCATGGTATTGGTACCAAAACAGAGATATAGATCAATGGAACGGAACAGAGCCCTCAGAAATAATGCCACATATCTACAACTATCTGATCTTTGACAAACCTGAGAAAAACAAGAAATGGGGAAAGGATTCCCTATTTAATAAATGGTGCTGGGAAAACTGGCTAGCCATATGTAGAAAGCTGAAACTGGATCCCTTCCTTACACCTTACACAAAAATCAATTCAAGATGGATTAAAGACTTAAACGTTAGACCTAAAACCATAAAAACCCTAGAAGAAAACCTAGGCATTACCATTCAGGACATAGGCATGGGCAAGGACTTCTTGTCTAAAACACCAAAAGCAATGGCAACAAAAGACAAAATTGACAAATGGGATCTAATTAAACTAAAGAGCTTCTGCACAGCAAAAGAAACTACCATCAGAGTGAACAGGCAACCTACAAAATGGGAGAAAATTTTTGCAACCTACTCATCTGACAAAGGGCTAATATCCAGAATCTACAATGAACTCAAACCAATTTACAAGAAAAAAAACAAACAACCCCATCAAAAAGTGGGTGAAGGACATGAACAGACACTTCTCAAAAGAAGACATTTATGCAGCCAAAAAACACTTGAAAAAATGCTCACCATCACTGGCCATCAGAGAAATGCAAATCAAAACCACAATGAGATACCATCTCACACCAGTTAGAATGGCAATCATTAAAAAGTCAGGAAACAACAGGTGCTGGAGAGGATGTGGAGAAATAGGAACACTTTTACACTGTTGGTGGGACTGTAAACTAGTTCAACCATTGTGGAAGTCAGTGTGGCGATTCCTCAGGGATCTAGAACTAGAAATACCATTTGACCCAGCCATCCCATTACTGGGTATATACCCAAAGGACTATAAATCATGCTGCTATAAAGACACATGCACACGTATGTTTATTGCGGCATTATTCACAATAGCAAAGACTTGAAACCAACCCAAATGTCCAACAATGATAGACTGGATTAAGAAAATGTGGCACATATACACCATGGAATACTATGCAGCCATAAAAAATGATGAGTTCATGTCCTTTGTAGGGACATGGATGAAATTGGAAATCATCATTCTCAGTAAACTATCGCAAGAACAAAAAACCAAACACCGCATATTCTCACTCATAGGTGGGAATTGAACAATGAGAACACATGGACACAGGAAGGGGAACATCACACTCTGGAGACTGTTGTGGGGTGGGGGGAGGGGGGAGGGATAGCATTGGGAGATATACCTAATGCTAGATGACAAGTTCGTGGGTGCAGCGCATCAGCATGGCACATGTATACATATGTAACTAACCTGCACATTGTGCACATGTACCCTAAAACTTAAAGTATAATAATAATAAATAAATAAATTTAAAAAATTTAGTATTACTGTATTCGATTTTAGCAATGTTTTCTCTATCGCTTTTTAAAAAGAAGCATTAAAAACAAAATAAACCCAGTTAAAAAGGAAAAAAATTAGACATTAAATAATAAAATAATAAATTAAGTCAAAATCAGTATGTTCAAACAAAAAAGGACAACATTGTTGATGAACTTTACCTTAATTTTAGCAGTATATTCTCCTCTACCTCCAAACAGACCAAGACCACCAAGTAAAATATCAGTGTCGGCACTGAAACGTATAGCTTCTACTGAATGGGCAGAATAACCCCAGCCTCCTCCATGACCTAGAATATATAAATCATAATCTATGTTTTAAAAGATCCATATATATTTCAGTTGTAAGACAACATTTCCTAAACCGAAGTATACATACTTTCAAACCTGTTTACCACACTATAATCTTCTTTAGAATAAACCTTCATTACTGCTTGAGTCTCTTCCTCTGTACTTGCAACACCCATTTTTAAGTCCTGCATAGCTGCCAAGGTATCAAGACAACCTAAAACAACAAAGAAACAAAATTTAACTCCTTGAAATTAAAATGTCCTATGGTATTGATGACATTAAATGCTATAGGGGATAAATTAAAATAAATAAACTCAGAATGTTACTCCAAGCTTTAAACATCATTTCATGGAAGAATGCTTAAAACCAATACAAATTATCCCTTGTCTGATTAATGATCATATTTAAACTTGCCATACGACAACCTTTTACACAAAACTGGATCTCTGAAAAGTTGAAATCACTTAACCTTTGAATTCTTACAAGGTTCTTCCTTTTATGAAACTCCAAATTAGTTTGATTCTTAAAGTGCTATTTGAGGAAGACACATTAGTGTCACACAAACTTAATCAACACTAGTTTTGGATGTCTACAATAGAAACCAAAATGAAATTTGAGAAAAAAGAAACAAAGAGTTATATTTATGATATGGTAATTATATTTAGGAATATGATTTCACACCTGCAAGTGCTAGAGTCTGAAAATGAGTCTTTTTAAGGATCATTTTTAAAAGCAACAAAATACATAGTTACATAGAGTGATATAAAATTTCCAGTTACAAAATAATATATTGCACTACATCTCAAAGTAATTAAATAAGTACTACATCTCAAAGTAATTAAATAAGAATGAAGTTGATATGCTGTGGAAAACTGTGTTATATAAGAAGAAACAGAAGATGTATATAAAATTCATTACATTTTATAGAATTTATTTAACATAATATACATAAATTAAATATTATATACTTGAAAATTTTATCATATCTTTAAAAGTTTATACATTCAAGTTGAGCAAAAACATTATTTTTAAGGGTCTACCTCTGTGAAAATTAAATAATTGGGCATACATAAATCTTTGATAGTGTTAGTACAGGTCTCATGTATTGTTTTCTGTGGAATTAGCCTCTTAGAGGATTTAACTTATTTTGTACATTATTATTATTTAACAAACAAGACAGAATTACATATAAATTTAAATACTCTAAAAAAAAACCCTGGACAGCACACATTAATGTGAATTAATGGTACATCAAATCGCAACCCTACCTAAAATGTGCAAAGCTGCATGAGATCGGGTAGTGAGGGCCCTTGATCCTGTTGGTAAGGCAAGTTCAGGACTTAGGATACTACATCTGGACTGCATGTCTGCTGCAGAGGGAAGCCTGGCATCAGCAACCACCGCATTGTAACACCACAGCTCTCTAGTATTTGGTCGAAACCTTTAAAGAAAAAGAATAATTACAGCACCTCAATGTGGTTTTGTTTTTAAAAAAAATTCCTAAAACATAACTGATGATACAAAGAGAATAAATAATATAGTCAGCTTAAAGAGGACAAATGTAGCTCATTATCTTCTGGATCTAAGCTAAACATATAAAAAAACTATATCACTAAAAGTGAAATAATTTGAAAATAGTAACGTAGATTATAATACTTAATACAGAAAATAGTAATGTAGATTATAATACTTGACTGTATAAAGTTTTGATACATACATATAAATATGAAACTCAACAAATACCCCATTAAAAAAGTTTAAAGACAAAGGACAAGTTGAAGAAAAATGTGAAGTGTACCTGTGAGACACAGCTACAATATCCTCAATGTATAAGAGCTAGAAACAATCAATCCATAGCAAAAATTGGCAAGGACATGGAATGCTATCCATAGAAAGGAAGCACAGATAGAATGGATGTGGATGTTCAACCATATGAATAAACAGTAAAAACCAATTAAAAACTATTAGGAACCCACAACGTCTTCATCATCCCATTTCTCTGATCTCTTTTGTAACAAAAACTTCAAAAAACTATCTCCACTTCTTTACCTCTTTTAGGGGTCGGGAAGTGAGGGATGCAAGCTATTGTTTAATAACTATAGAGTCTCAGTTTTCCAAGAAAAAAAAGTTCTGATGATCTATTTCACAATAACATAAATACACTAAACACCACTGACTGCAGACTTTCAAAATGATTAAGATGGTAAATTTTATACTGTTTTTTTACCACAATTAAAAAATTTTAAATTATTTTTAAAAAGCACTTAAAATAGCATTTGGGAGAAAATATATTATGGTAGCTTCTATAACTAGTAGCATTAATATTATTGCATTATTGCTTTTGGGAAGTTCTGTTGATCTCATTGTTTAGGTAATCATTCTTTTCTCTCTGGTTGCTTTTAAGATTTCCCCTTGGTCTTTAGTGTTCAACAGTTTCACTAACTCTCTTGATGGTAAATAATAGAAACACATAGTTTCTAATATCCATGGATTCAAATCTCTTTTTGGTTCTGGAAAATTCATGGTAAGAGACAAGAAGATACTAGAAATTATCTGCCCATCCCCCCACCAAGCCCCACCCGCCCCAGCCCCAGATGAATGAGTATTTGACTGCTTCCTCTACTCTATGTTTACTTTAACTCCAAATACAAAATTCACTGTTCCCTCTACCCCTTCCTTTTCATGTGCAACATGTGGATTCAGTAAGCCTAATCAAAACCTTACAAGAATGTGACCACATCCTCTCATTTTTTCTTTTCCTTTTCTCCTCCTGCTCTCTTTTCCTCTTTAAATGCTGAAGGCCTCAAACCTCTTCAGAAAAAGTACAGGGCACAGATCCTGCTGTGGCTTGTCTTTTCTTCCCAGGCATCTCCTCAACCTTGGAAAAATAAACTTCTAAAGTGATTCAGACTTACCTCAGTCATTTTACAATTCTGTGAGCCTATCTTTTAACTCAGCAATTCTACATTTTAAAAGCTAGCTTGCAGAAATACTTCCACATGTGTGTAAAACTCTGTGTGTAGATACCTGTGTATTTGTTCACTGTAGCATTGTAGGTAGTATCGTAATATTAAAAAAAATCTAAAATGTTCACTGATGGGCAAACAGTTAAGTATATTTGGTATACCCAGACTACAGAATTCCACAATTTTAATAATGAAGCTGTTCTTTAAATACTGACTTGGAAAGATCTCTAAATTATTTTTGAGCAAAAAATCTAACTTTTAGAGTAGGTATGTTTTTATTTACATAAAAAGAAAAATACATGCATTTTAAAAGGTGTCAGATGATATAAATCAAACTTCATACTTGTGATCCACAGAGAAGGCTAGTGGAATTCGGTATGGGAAAAGAAACAGATACAGAGTATGACCATCCTTTTTCCTGTATGTATTTTTGCTTTGTTTTTTAAAAAATAACACAAATTCACATATTATTTGTGTAAATTTGTATGTGGGAAATAAAACAGGTGTTCTTAACATTTATCTGCTCTTTATAGATGTTGTTTCTAATTACTCAGGCAAAGTTGGCTCCTAAAGAATATAAAATGAAGCAGATGCAGGCCAGAAGGAAAGTCAAAGTAAGCTAATATTGGATGTGCAATGCATATGATAATTATAAAATTTAAGTGCCCCATTGAAAAACACAAAAGACACAAAGCAGCCAGAAGTCAGGATAACAGAAATTCTGATCCTGATTTAAAGAAAAATACCTCTCAGCTGTTTTACCAAAACATCTCTTAATCTCTGTTTTCCAACAATGGAGAAATTGATCAAGGAGCTGGCAGGGCATTTGAGATCATCTGTCCCATTGCTACTACCATAAATGGAAAAGACAAGGTTCAACCAGCTGAACATCATACTTGAGAGTTCTGTTAAGACCCCACGGAAATGGTTCTAGTTCAAGTAAGTTTTTACTGTTACGCTTAGTTATACTGTTATTGCTAACTTAGTGAATGCATCCAGAAACAGATTCCACACTGCCAATTTTTATTTTTGTTTTGCTAATGCAAATTTACTTCATTTAAAAATAAAACATGTAAGAACTACAAAACAGTAAAACATCAATTTACACCTAAGTCCAAACCAGAGCCTGCTCTTTGGTAACTAAGTCTCTTGAACATTGACTTCTAATCGGTAAGTAACTGCAGCCAATTCTATCTTTACATCTTTTCTCCTCTCTATCCCCTCCATTCTATCCCACTGTGACCATTCTAACTTTGGTTCTTAATACCTCATGTCTTCATAAGAATGATCACAAAAGACCACTCACCCATAGTCTCTTGTTATTTCATCTACCCTGCACAATGCTGCCAGGGAGATGTAATTGATTTGAGATGTACTCAACTCAATACTGGCCACTACGCCTTCTCATAAAATGCCCAAATAAGAGAGGAAGCTGGCCAGCAACCTGGGAAGTGCAGCAGTCTCTTCACTCTGAATGCAAGCCTCGTTATTAATCTCTATTTTGGAACACGGAAGAAAATTACCAAGGAGTTGGCAAGACATTTGAGATCATCTATCCCATTGCTACCACATGGCCTCTTAGAACTTGGCTGTCTGATGAGAATGCAAGCAGGCATGGGTAGAAGAAGGAAGACAGAGAAAAAGTCTCCTCACTCACACTACTTCAACCTTTCAACTTACTGGAATCTTGCCTACTAAGGCCGGCCGCAAAAGGAAAGAAGTGCTCAGCCCTGTGATGAGCCACTGTGGTGATGGCAGGGTACACCTCCTATTAGTATCCAAAGCTAGAAACACTAAGAAGGGTAACTTATTTATTCATTTTGTATATAAAGCACCACAATAATTTTTTTTTCTTTTTTTTTTTTTTTGAGACAGAGTCTCGCCCAGGCTGGAGTGCAGTGGTGCGATCTCGGCTCACTGCAAATTCCGCCTCCCAGGTTCACGCCATTCTCCTGCCTCAGCCTCCCGAGTAGCTGGGATTACAGGTGCCCGCCACCACGCCCGGCTAATTTTTCGTATTTTTAGTAGAGACAGGGTTTCACTGTGTTAGCCAGGATGGTCTCGATCTCCTGACCTCGTGATCTGCCCGCCTTGGCCTCCCAAAGTGCTGGGATTACAGGCGTGAGCCACCGCACCCGGCCCAGCACCACAATAAATTTCAAACAAATGCAACATAATTTCTTGAGTCTCTTTTGTGCCTTATTTATCTCTATGTTTTTATAATTTCCAGAATGCATATAATCCTGTATATTTCTCTACCAGTAAGAGTATTTTTTAATGCACATTCTTAAAGGGCAAGCTCAATTATCTTCTTTATTCTTTATTGTCTTTGGCATAATTTCCTCCTCATAGTTAATAATAATTATGAGAACAAAAAATAGAATGAATTCTATACAATATAAACAGGATTGATGACAGACTAAAAATAACAACAGAACTCTCAACAGTAAAATTAATAATTATAATGATAATAGCAAACACTTATATGGCACCTAGTATGCACCTCTGTAGTATTAGCATCCCCATTTCATAAATGAGAAAACTGAGGCACACAGTCAAAGTAACTTCTCCAGGGTGACACAGAAAGCAAGTTGTGGAGCTGGGATAAACCTAGGTAGTGTTGCTTAAAATGCATGCTCTTAACCACTATGCTACAGTATAAAGGTCCCTGTGAATCACTGAGACAGAATTGCAGTTATTAGATAAACAGGAGAGTACTCACATGTGAAAAGTCCACCTGTAAATAAAGTTTATATTACCATAAGAGTATAACTGCATCAAAACTTATTGACTATTTTATAAACTGAGATGCTTACCTCCAAATTACATCATATACAGGATCAAGACACACACCAAATCCTTGCAGATCCTCTTGTTCTGAGTCATTAAAAGTTTTACAACTCCCATCCACTTTATTTATCAGAAGGCATTTAAATGGAGGAGGTTCTGATATAGAAGCAGGTACCAAGCCTTAAGAAAAAAATATTTATATATAATTTTAATATATATTACCCTTTTAAATTCTCCAAAACCCATAAAGTAGTATTATCTCCATTTCTCAGGTGAATAAGCAGAGAATAAAAGAGGCTAAGTAATTAAAAAATCTTTAAGTGGGAGAATTAGGAATAAAACCTCAAGATGTCTAAATCCACAACACATGCTCCTAATCTCTTGCTATACCACTCTATTATATAATTATTCACAGTATCATGGACACAGTACAGATTGATAACTTGGTCTTCGTGAAATTTCAAAGTTGGATTTATATAACCTCCCATAAAAATTAATTTCTAACATTTATTTAGCAATAAACAATGCATAAAACTCTCTTACTCTAATATGGATTTTATCCTACTAGAATTTAGTTTATAGTTCTACCACTGTCTAGCTCACAAATACTGTGGTTTCCAGATCTCCCAATTATTCCATTCTTTCAGCATAGAGACACATATAAACGGAGACATTTACAGGCTTTGTTTAAATTTCTTTGAGCAGAAAGAAAACAAAAAGCTACAAAAGTACATTTCATTAAAGGGAAAGATAAACCATTTACTATCAATCAAGACAAGAGTTTGGAAGGGGCATTTGTTTATTTCTGGTATTACCTATTATGTGTTTACTGGCAAAAATTTCTGATGTAGCAAGTACATGAGAATTAATAAGTGCTTCATCAATTCGTAAAAAAGTTTGGTCCCCACTTGCACCTATCCAAGTAGCTTTTCTTCCATATTTTGATCCAATGTTAGGCATGGGAGCTGGCTTTGCATTCCAATATGGCACATCCAAAATTGGTCTGCCCAGTTGTCCTTTCTAAAAGATTAAATAAACCATATTAGCAATATTGCTGTGTAAACAATCTAATTTTCATAAAGTTAAGGAGGCAGTAGATAAAAATCAATCTATGAAACCTTATTTTTCACCAATTGTTAGTTTGGGTTTTTAAAATAAATACAATATGTAAGAATTTGGACCAAATATTTATAAAGTAATAAAATAATTTCTATTATTCCTGGAAAGTCTTAAAAAGTGCATTATTTTTTAAAAAAAAGTTTGAAATATTTTCCACGCAAGAAGTATCTCCAAAATACTTTGTCTTCACCTACATTTAAATGAAAAGTACGACAAATACACACAATATGTTAAAATATTAGTATTCCAAATTGTTCATTTAAAAAGTCACTTTGACATAGTAAGTTGATAGTATAAAAGAAAGTCACTATTGAACTCATATAATCTGAGAATATCCATGTAAAAAGACCAAAATAAATACTGAAACTGTGAATACAATTAGAAAAATATGTAATGTTGTTTTCACATGATATGTCCCTAAATTATTTCATTTATGTTTTAAAATAAACAGCACAATCAATGGTAAGATATGATATTTTAAGTAAATAACTATTAACCAGTTTAAAAGTATGGCTCTCTATAGGGACCTGGTCAGGTAAGAGTTTAATTTAAAAAGTAATAGGAAGTTTCTCACTAGTAAGCCTGTAGCTGAAAAAGAATAAAAGAATGCTGACATTGACTCAATAGATATTCTTCCACCCCTGGCTCGGGACCTCTCTCCCCTCACAGCATTCTGGAACAAGGGAGCCTGGAGCACTGCGAACACTCTGGTCACGTTCTCATCCAACCACCAGGTAGCACAGCAAGAAAACACAGCCACAAACTAACTGTGGAAGCAACTGAGCTTCAATCCCTGGACAGAACCAGGGAAGGAAACATGGCAAGCACATGATTAGAGAAGCAGCCAAAACACTCAACATTTATTTCTCATACTCTTTTAAGATCTGTCCTTATTTTTTGACAAAAATAAGAGAGCACAAAAATGTAAACAGGGGCCAGGTGCAGTAGCTCACGCCTGTAATCCCAGCACTTTGGGAGGCCGAGATGGGAGGATCACCTGAGGTCAGGTGTTTGAGACCAGCCTGGCCAACATGGTGAAACCTCGTCTCTACTAAAAATACGAAAATTAGCTGGGTGTGGTGGCATGGGCCTGTAATCCCAGCTACTCAGGAGGCTGAGGCATAAGAATTGCTTGAATCTGGGAGCCGGAGGTTTCAGTGAGCTGAGATCATCATGCCACTACATTCTAGCCTGGATGACAGAGTGAGGCTCTGTCTCAAAAAGAAAAAAAAAAGTAAATAGTGAGCAAAATATATCATATTCAGGGATATATTCTGCTTTTGGAGGAAAAATAAATTAGTTATCTTTTTCATTGACTATTGAAATAAATATGTATTCCCTTACTACCAACTAATATGAAGAAAAGCAGTCCAAAAATGTGTTAGATACCTGGACAACCCCATAAGGACCAGAATGTGGTTATAAATAAGCCACATTTAAATTCATAAAAGTTCACAACTAGGACTGCTGGGACTGGAGGACAATGACTGTCTGACGTCAAATCTTATCACTCACATAACCACCTCAAAAGACACAAAAATATGCTGTGCAAACAAATCTATATGTGACTCAAACCTTCAGCAGTGGAAGGAGACAGCGGGTGTCATGATCTCTATGTTTCCTGTAAGCAGAAGAGCCAAATTCCAAGAGTTCTCTCCACCCACCGGCTACTGCAAACCTGAGCATGTGCAAAGCACGAACAGGGAAGTTCTTAAGAAGGAGGACAGAGGCGTGTGAAGAAGTTAGAAAAAGCACAGGGAAACACATGCCCCCAAAAAGAAAGTTAACCTTCAATGCCAAAATACTAAATATGGATCCGAACTTTGAGGATCAGAGCACCAACTAAAGGCAAAGGAACTTGGAAGTAAGCAGGACCATTCCTCACCCATCAGACTGGCACAAATTAAAGGTACCACAACACATTCTGTTGGCAATTCTGTGGAAACAGGCAATCTCATACACCGTTAGTGTGAAAGCAAAATACAGGAGAATTGTTAATATCTCACAAAACTACATAGGCATTAACCTTCAACACAGTAATCTCACTTCTAGGAATTTATCTCAAAGATACACCTCTAACAATATTCACTACTACCATTACAAAGTATTGGAAACCACGTAAATATATAAACATGAGAAACTGAATGAATAAACTATCATATATACACACAATGGGGTATTACATGGAGGTAAAAAAAAAAATGAAGAGCTTTATGAATTGATATGGAGTGATTTCTAGGAGAGATGCTGAAGCGAAAAGAGCAAAGTGCAAAAGAGCATATATAGGCTATTACCTTTAAAAAACGGGAAAGGGGAAATATATATATTTATGTACAGTCACATGTCACTTAATGACAGGGATATGTTCTGAAATATGTGTCATTAGGTGATTCTGTGATGCTGCGAACATCAGAGTGGACTTATACAAACCTAGACGGTATATCTACTACATACTTAGGTGATATGGTGTAGCCTATTGCTCCTAGGCTACCAACCTGTACAGCATGCTGGTGTACTGAATACTGTAGGCAACTGTAACCCATTAGTAAGTATTTCTGCATGTAAACATAGAAAAGTTATAGTCAAAGTACTTATTATAATCTTATGGGAACACCTTAGCATACGCAGTCCATCACTGACCAAAATACTGTTATACAGTGCATAACTGTGTATACACATACATACATATATAGGTATATATATATAAAATAGTGTGTCTGCATGCTTATATATCTTCACAAGAAGAAACACAAGAAGAATAAACTGTAAAACAATGACATTCATTACCTCCAAGTATGGAATGAAAGGTGTGGGGAGGCAGGAATGTCAAGGATATGGGAGGAAGTGACACCTCTTGAGTATACAATTTTTGTATAACTTAATTTTTAGCAACATGTAAATGTTCTATATATTTTAAAAATGAAATAAAACTTAATCAAAGGATAGGGTGAGGGGAATCTTAAACTGAAACAAATGAGCCCCACTCTATTCCAAAGGAATCACAATTTCCACTGAAAGGAGTGAGAGAGAGAATCCAGGCCACTCATGGACAGTGCTTGACTATACACCTTCAGACTTGGGGTGGGGAGCAGGTGGGAGGGGAAAGAGCAAGAATGACCTTTCAGTGAGTTTGTTTTTTTGAACTTGTACAGGCAAAGCAAATATAAAACTATTTTAGACATATCTGGGGACTAAGTGAGAAATAAATATATTGATATTGTTGAGAGGAAAGATTCTTACTGAGGAAGAAAGTACATAAATATAGAACAGGACAGGTAAGAAAGAACCTTGTGGGAATGGATTGGAAGTAGAAGTCACAGTGGGGTTCTTTTTCTTTCTTTTTGAGACAGGATCTTGCTCTGCTGTCCAGGCCAGAGGGCAATGATGGAATCACAGCTCTCACTACAGCCTCGACCTCCAGGGCTCAAGTGATCCTCCTACCTCAACCTCCTGAGCAGCTAGGACCACTGGCATGTGCCACGGCACCCAGCTAATTTTTTTAATAGAGATGGGGTCTCACTATGTTGTCCAGGCTGGTCTCAAACTCCTGGGCTTGAGTGATCCTCCTACACTGGCCTGCCAAAGTGCTGGGATTATAGGTATGAGCCACCACACCTGGCCTATGATTTCTAAAATACATACATATATGTGGACATATAAATATATGCATACCAGAGATCCAAAGACGTCCTGTAGCAATGAACACTTCTAGTGCCCAGTTAGTGTCTAATACTATTCCCCACTAAAAAGAATCAGGGTTCTTGGAGAAATGGCTGATTCTAGGACAGTCATACAGGGCCTGTACAAGATAAACCCTGAACAACTTGTTATGCTGGAAAGAAAGGAAGCACTCCAAAAAATGAAGGGGCATGTCACAAGAATACAGGAGCCAACTTGAAGGGGCTACTGCTGGCCAAATCGGAGATAATCTAGGCACCCAAATAATTAAAGATGATAATGAAGAAAATACAAATACCTGAGTCTATACCAATAATAAGTAGAAAAACAAGTAAACAGGAAAGGAGGGCTCTTGCTTAGAGTAAAAGGCCAAGTGCCTACTGGAGTTGAAAAAAATCACCATTTTTTAAACATTATAGTAAAGACTAGCTCAGGAAAGAATGATCAATGGATGCTAAATCTAGGGGGAAATTTTGATGAGAAGCAGGCATCTTAAAAGTGTCAACCTACAGGTTGCTTATAGTTTCAAAGGAGAAACAGTACAGAAATCAGACATTTGATCAGGTGATCAAAATGTCCATAATCAATGAAGAGCAGATGGACATTCTGAGCCTTCAGATGTGATGCAGTGAGGGCAAACACAACATAACTTACAGAGTATCTTGGCCTGGGTGCACAACCTGCATCTAAACATGAGGACATTATCAAAGAAACAAAAATGAAGAGGATTCTATTTTTCAAAACAGTACTATATACTCTTCAAAAATGTCAATGTTATAATAGACAATACATAGCTGTAGAAATGTTACAGATTAAAGGAGACTAAAGACACACAACAGGCAAATGTAATGCCTGATCCTAGATTGGAGGGGAAAGAAATGCCAAAAAATAATTATTAGGTCAATTCACAAAATACAAACTAAAGTATGTAGGAGGTAACGGGCCATAATGTACACAAGACATTGTCAAAGGATTTGAGAAAAAAAAATATTTTATATACATACGTACACACACACATTTGTGCATACACACACACTGCGTGTGTGAGAAAGAGAACAGCCACATGTGCAATAATAAAGCAAATGCTGGATCAAAATGTTAACAATAGGTGAATCTGGTTAAAGACACTAACCAGATATTCTACACACTGTTCTTAGTTGTGCAATCTTTCTGTAAGTTTGAAACCATTTTCAAATAAAATATTTTAAGTACACATTTACAGTTTTTAAAAAATCAAAAGCTGTAAATGTCATCTCAGACACTTAGGTTCAAGAGTTCTTAGTAATTATCCACATCTGAAATGGTACAAGAGTATTAGCACAGTCTCGCAAAGATTTTTCTTGATATCTACTATGCCCAAACTACACAAAATTCTTAGAGCATTTTCACTCTTTAAGCTTTGGTGCAGAGAGAGGGAGAGAATGTGCACAAGCGCCTATGTAACAGACAGGCGGATAGACTCAGAGGGTGGAAAAGGAAAAAAGAAAGTATAATTTTAAACAAATCAAATAAAAAAAACTAGGCTTTTAAAAGGTTACAAAATAGCATAGTTCTATGTGTTAAGAAAAATTCATCTCTACAAGTTAGATGAGAAATAACCTTTCCTATGACAGAATTAGCTCTATTGAATGCTTAAAAGACTTTAATCTGAAATAAACATGTCCAATTCTAACAAAGCTGTTAAATTCAATAAATTCTAATGCTGAGCTAGAGAGGAAAATTACTTCAAAGAATATCATTCAGGTTTAGTGTGTGTTGGGGATGAAGGCATGAAATATGCATATGTAACAATTATAATATAATTGTTATATTATATTCTGGAAACAGAAAAAAGAGCTAATATAGACAAATTATAAGGCAATGGTATAATGCAATATTATTAATGTTTTAAAAATTCCTTACAGAAAAACTTCCAAATGTGAAGACCTGTCCATCCATTAAAAGTACTGCCGTATGGTTGCTGCCTGCAGTGACTTGTGTGCTAGGGCCTGGCAATGCTTGAACAAGAGTGGGACATCCCCTAGGTTAA
Source organism: Homo sapiens (assembly GCF_000001405.40). Taxonomy (NCBI): domain Eukaryota; kingdom Metazoa; phylum Chordata; class Mammalia; order Primates; family Hominidae; genus Homo; species Homo sapiens. The sequence goes on from NC_000013.11 coordinate 77,217,967, forward strand.
AAAAAAAAAAAGTAAGTCAATTTCTTACAAAACTCAACTAAAATAAAAACAATAAGTAAGCAATGCAACAAGGAGTAGGAAAGATAAAAGGCACTCATAAGAATATTCAGTAAACATTTAAGTGCTAAACGCCTATCTCCATTCCAGGTACTAGGTAAACAAAGATGAAAAAGACAGTTGCTGACTTTAAGGAGATCATCAAAAAGATCTTCTAAATGTAATTACCCTAATTATAGACACATAATAATTTCTGAAAAACTGGTGCTACATTTATTTTTAATCTGGTACTCTGTATACTGACTGGCCTGTTAGAGATCTTTATAAATAATTATTGGATGAAATAAAAATCATGTAATGCCTTAACAGAAATTCAATCCAGGAACTAGATGAAATAATTTTATGATCATCTTTTCTAACTTTTATCACTAAGCTATAAGTTTAGATCTTAGAATCACAGTTAATGAGTCAAAACACAGTATCATGAGAGGCATTAGAGCAGTGACTACAAGCTCAGGCTTTAAAGCTAGACTGGCTGGTTGTGAATCCTGGCTCCCCAACTTAATAATAATGCGACCAGACTTCGAACAAGTTTTTCATTCTTTTTGTATTTCAGTTTCCTCTTTATCACATGGAGAATACTAACAAACGGTGTCTACCCCCACAGAGTTCCTGTGAACAGTAAAGAGGCCCATACGTGTCAAGTACTTGGATCAGCGTCTGGCACACAGTTAACACTTAATGAACAGTAACTATTATGATAAATGACATCCTAGTATCCTTTCCTACTTTTAACAGCCATTTTTAGTAACCATTATCTGTAATTAGAAACACAACCATTATAGAAATAGTCCACACATAGCAGGAGAGCTCTGCTTTTGAGAAATGTAATTATGACACTTTAAATTTTAAAAATTATATAGTAGTTTGGGTAATTTATGATGAAGGCCTTAACTAGGAGCAGTGCAGAGTGAAAGAGATGGTGACTTTGATAGCTATGTAAGGAACAGAATTGATGAAACTTGGCAGATGATCGATATGGGGCAAGGAAGATTTTTTTTGCTTAAGCAACAGAGTAGATAGTGGTAATATTCACTTAAGCTATGAGAATGAATGAGATCTAGGAAGACTCTTTGAGAGAGAAAAGAAGAGATCCTAATTTCCCTTATGAGTCTCTTCTAACATTTTAGATACAGACCGAGGAAGAACAGCTCACAGACATCTAGAATAAACCACACAGAAAGAAAGAACTCAAGGAGACTCATTGGAGGAGTAGGTTTCAAGCGTGGAAAATAAAGTACATGCCAAATGCTCTAAGGAGACATACACCTAACCACTCGATTTAGCAGAAGGAGGTCTCTTTGGTGGAAGCAGGCACCACAATGCAGCAGATAAGGAGTCAGAGAATACACAAAGTAGCTCTAAGTATCCCAGCACTAAAGGGAAAAAGAAAGGAGAGCCAGCAGCTAAAGGAAAAATGAAGCTGAAGGAGAGGATTTTTTTTTTTTAATGATAAGAGATTTGAGGAAGTTTAAAAGGTGACTCAAAATAAAGACGCTAAAGACAAAGGTTAGAGAGAAGACAGGAAACAGAAATAGATCTCTAAGGAAAAGACAGCTAGGTTTCATAGCAAGGACACAACAGGTTCCTCTTTAACTGTAACATGAGGAAAGAAGCAGAGAAGTGGTATGGATGGAAGTAGGTTTGCAGGGTTGGTGGGCTGAATAATTTCTTACATCTGTTGCAATGTACATGGAGATCCTATGCTAAAAGGAGGAAACAGGTGAGTGGAGAGTTTGAAGATTCGAGAAAAGGTGTGGTGGTAGATGGAATAGATACATACCGAGAGCAGGAGTTTTCAACTCAGATATAAAGGACTTCTAGGAAGTCCATGAGTGAGCTTCAAAAGATCTCCTAAATTTGCAAGCAAATTTTTAAGTGTATATTCTTGTATTTTTCATAGAGACCCCATGTCTTTCATCAAACTCTCAAAAGGTATTAAGTCAAATAGTTCAATACTACACAACAGGAGGATTAATGACCATTGTACAGGAACTGGTTGAATCTGGAAATTAAGTATCAATCTGCATAGGTATGGTGATTTCTTACCTTCCAGAAGCCTAAGTATAGGCATAGGAAATATTAAGATTGATTCATGTTTGCGGTTTTATCATGTCCTAGCACCACGACCAAGAGAGTGGGAAAACTGAAGAAACTGGTAAGAGTATAGGTGAAGAAATTAAGCAACAGTCTTTAACTTGAGTAGGAAATAAAGTTAAAAAAAGGGTGAAAAAAGAGTAAAAAAGTAGAGGGCTGTGGGGCATAAAGTCAAAGGGAAATAAAGTAGGGCTGCATCACAGAAGAAGAAAGTATCATCAGATTATGGATATTTAAACTTGAGAAACTGAGACACAAGAAGATTAAGTAACCTGGCCAAGATCATATAGCTACCAAGTGACAGAATCAGGACCCAACCTAGAGACTGAACTCAGTCATTCTGGCAATATAACACATTAAATAAAGAGAATATCAATAACACTTTTCCATCTTCATTATCATGCATACCACAATATTGATCTTAAACAACACATTATTAATGTGTGCTATATAGTAAATTCCAGTTAACAGCTCTTGATTACTAGAGACTTTTCAAACATATTCTCCAACTGTAACCCTTTATTTCAACTATCTGTAAATGTTTTGCTTTGTTGTAGTTAATACATATGCTATAGAAGCTTTGTTCCTCCCAAGATTGTTCCTCTATAGACATAATCAACTCCTTTCTGAATTAATAACAGAGTTCTTGGTTGCTACTTTCCAAGTTCCACAAAAGTCCAGACAGACAGGGTAACTGAGTGCTTAAGACTGAAGCGGTCTTGATGAATATCTAATCCACTAGGCACAGTATATAGGTATGACTACTGCATTATCCGTTGTAGCTCTGCCCACACTTCATGTAATCAGTCTTTCAGTTACCACTCAATGGAACAAGGACCAAAACATTCCATGCTGGAAAAGAACAACTTTGGGCAGTTAAAACAAATCCCACCAGTGTTTAATCTTAAGAAATTATAGTCATATGGTTGGTAAGAAGTGAAGAGCTGAACCTTGCCTCTACAGTTCCAGGTTCGATGACTATGTAGCATCTACCAGTTACTATACCACTGTGTAGATCCTACCAATGTTTAATCTTCATAAGAAACCCTGATATTTTGTTTCAACATTAAATGCTATCGTATTTCATGAAGACGATAAATTCAAGCAATTTAAAATATTGAGCATATTGCTACAATATTATTACCTGAGGAAGTCTGGCCTGAAACTGCCCTATATCTCTTCAGACTTGGGAATCGAAGAATGGTGTTCACTGGTATAATCAGGACCACGAAGTAATGTTTTTAGGTAATCTCTTCATTTTAAAAGCTGACATGAACACCTTCCCTCTCAGCGGCCAACACACCTCAGTGTGGTGTGGAAGGATGTTGTGCTCATGCTGCTCATTCTTCTGAGTGCCAAGTGCACAGTAAGATAACATAACCTGACTATAACATGGCCATGCTTTTCACTACTTCCCTTTCCACTCTGGCAAGACCATGAAATACTATTTGCCAATTATTTTCTGTGAAGTGCCCTCTTTGCTGCATACATGACTGAGACCCCATCTTATCTAACTGCAATGCACCTTTCCCAGTTTCTATGGCTCACAAAATAACCACCAGCTAAATAACAACAACAATAGCCACGATGATACAAATAAACCCTCTTCTTCTGTGTCCCAACTCTCAAATGAGAAACAGAACAAAAAGTTGCCACGTTCTTCCCCACACAGGTTATAGTCATCCCTCAGCATCCATGGGGAATTGGTTCCAGGATCCCCTGCAGCTACCAAACTCTAGGGATGCTCAAATCCCTTATATAAATTGGCATAGTATTTGTACATAAACTACACATCCTCCTGTATACTTTAAAACATCTCTAGATTACTTATAATACCTAATACAATGTAAACACCATGTTAATAGTTGTTATACTCTGTTGTTTAGGAAATAATAACAAGACAAAAACATCTGTACATGTGCAGTACAGATGCAATTATCGTAGGCCTAACTATGTTTTCTGTCAAGATTGATTGAATCCACAGATGCAGAACCCACAGGTACAGAGGGCCAACTGTAATTACTACCCAGATTCAGCCTCTGCATTTCAGTAATGTTACTCAATTGCAAAGCAAAATATCAGTTGGCATCTAACACCTGTGACAGTAATTGCTCAACACTGTTGGTATTATGTCATATCCAGCAGACACATCTGATAAAGTAATTCTGCCAAACACATCTTTTGCTCTTTGCAAGTATGATATTAGTCATTAAATATTTATGATTGTGATAGTTTTACAAACCTCTTGATAGTAGTATCAATTTTATGTTTCAGTTGTGTTTTTAATAAGAAGTTCAACTCAATGATATCTCAATCGTCTCTTATCATTAGCAACAACATTCATAAACATAACTCAGGACATTCCCTTTTGTTGCCATTTTTTATGCAGTGCCCACAGATCTGACCCTGCCTCAGCTCGAAGGGTAGAGAGTGGTTCTCATCCTGGATACATATAGAATCTGGGGACCTTTTAGAAAAAACTCTGATGCTGGCATCCTATCAAGGACCACTCCCCACCCCTGTCCCACCCACAAGCCTTTCAACACACACATCTCTCAGAAATGCTGGATGTAGAATCCACATATGATATTTTTTCAAATTCCCTAAGTAATTCTAATATACAGCCAGGGTTAAGAATCACTAATCTTTACCATGTAAATGGCAGAATTCCATCCCTGCCACAATAGTAGAGTGAGTTCAAGACACAGTGACAACCTTGAATTTTATTTAATGACTATGTGAAGGTAAGTTCTCTTTCTTTCACTGTATGTAAAGGAGAAACCATAGAAGTCCCCTTGATTCTGGCATATACACTGTGACTGCGAGGAAGAATAAGGCAGAGTAGAAGGTCAAAAGGTAAGTTTTTGCAGCTAAGTGAATTGCTGAGTGAAGTCTGGCTTGAAGCTGCTCTCTATCTTTCCAGACTTCATAAATACTCCTGTTTCCATGGTGAGACAACCACAGACACAGACCACTCAGATCTCCTTCAAGACAATCTGCTACAGAGAGCAGAGTTAACTATTATAACAGCCTCAGGTGCTGTCCCTTTGGATGCACGAGGACATTCGTCCCCTGGGGTGCTACCAGCTGTGACTGAACATGGTGAAGGTATGAATGTTGGTCTATTCCTGCCCAATGCAGGACCCTTCCAAAGGTATCCTCAGCTTGGGGACACATCACTGGCCTGGCTAAAACTCTCTTAATGTTATGCTGGAACCTAGACTCCTACCCGATTCTTCCTTCTCTTTCTCCTTTCATAGGGTCAAAACTACATGTATCTAATAAATTCTTTGCATATCTAATCCTGTCTTGGCATCTGCTTTCTGGAAGACCTGAACTAATAAAGATGGATTTTCTATTACTTTTGACCAAAAGTATTCTGACTGCATTACGTAGAATACAAACTCGGCTGCTGTAATGAAAGACAAGTAAGAGGGACTTCAAGATACAAGTTTATTTCTCACGCAAGAAGCATGCAATTTAAGAAGCTGATGAGGCAGTTCATGGTGTCAGAGACCCAGCCTATTCCCATCTTATGATTCTGCCATTCTCAGTACACAGTCTCCAACTTATCTCTGTGATGACTTCTTTAGTTTCTGCTTCCACATATTCATTCCAGCCAGCAAGCTGGGAAGAGAGAAGGACAAATGGAAAGGTACACCCTTTCCCTTTAACAGCAAGATTCCAAAGTGGCACCTATCACTTAAGTTCACATGGCCACATCCTGCTGCAATGGAAGCTGAGAAAGGGAATCTTTAGCTGCACGATCATGTCACGAACTAAAACTAAAACTAAAACAAATGAAGTAGGGATATTAGGAAATTACCACCAGTCTCTCTACTACTATTTGCAATAAGTCAAAAGAGTTAATCAGAGAGACCAATAGGTTCTGTCCAAAAATTATTCAAAAGCTTCAATGACTGCATGTTATTAGACCAAAATTTCAAAACAGACATCAGGAATATGTTTGAATCCATTGCTGACATTTTTTAAAAATACAATTCACTATTTTTCTATTGCCATGCACAGCCTTTAAAAAGATAATTGCTAAGAATATAGTGATATTTTGTGACAATCATAATCACTCTCCTATTTAAAATATATATCAGCTTTTCTCCTGAAACTACAAAATCCTTTATCTCTACAAAAGCACTCAACCATAAGATCAGAAACCACCAATAATTCATGGGCCACACTTTGCAAAGCAGTGGTATAATATTATTTTAATTCTAGAAATATATACTTAAAAAGAGAAAAGAAAGAAAAAAGAAGGAAAAGAAAACAGAAGAAAAAATAACTCTGGATCTTCAAATGAAAAGTTAGCAAGTACCTGGAGTTGACATCTCCATGTCCTAGCTGCCCATGCTGCCCATAACCAAATGTATAGACATCTCCATTTTCCATTAAAACCACTGCAACCAAAACACACAGCTTTATTTTTTCATTATATGCATTTTACATTTCTATCACAACTATACTAAAAGCAGTGTAATTTTCACTATTTAAGATTTATAGAACCATTAAAAATAGGTAACTGAAGGACAAATTTGTATTTAATGAGAAATTAATTTTAGTTCTGAAAAATATTTTTGTAGGTCATATAAATGTATAATTTTTTCATAATACACACTTAAAAATTCGTATAAATGCCATTTAATAACATTAATTCTTATTAACACACTGGTTCAGGTCAACTGTAAAATCTTCTTAATAATGAGTAACTACATATAAAATATTGTTCTCTCCTATCTAGGATAGGAGGTCTGCACAATTACGTACAACATCAATGAAACAGCAGAACTTTAATGTCTGTTAATACCTTATCAAATAATCTTCAAGGAAGGAATTTAACATTTTTGTTTTTATAAAGGTTGAACAGTACAGCAAAAGCTAACCCAAATGCCAATAATTTACTAAGAATTTAATTATTTTCTACATTTTAAGAAAGTAAATTTGTTGACATACATTTATCACTGAACATTAACAAAATATGGGAACATGTTACAAAAACCACAGCATTCTAGAACTGAAAGAGATTTAAAGGATTATTTCATCTTCCAGACTGTCTTGAATTATAAAAGAAGTCCACAGGAAGACAGACTAGAAGTTAGATCTCTAGACAAGTACCTGTTCCATCATGCCATAGTTGTTTAAAGAGATTCTGTAATAAATACAAAGGTCTTACAGATTTGAGAGACTGCCACGCTACAGCTTTTAACACACAGTTAACAGGCTATGTTCATCAAATCTGAAGAAATAAGTTACTGAGCACAATTGTAAAAACGCAGTTATACCCTAAAGTTCCAGCCGCTACCTGAATGGTGAAATCCACAGCTGACTTGGACTGCCCGGAGCTCACAGTCAAATCGCACAGAGCCTGGAGGGTATGTTGTGATTTTGCTTGCATCCTTTTCGCCTCTTTCTCCACTTCCATCTGCAAGTGTTATAATTTGTGAATTATGATTAAGCCATTATTCATCTTCAAAATAAAAATTTAAATCAGTTTATTATGGAAGAACAAGAGAAAAATGTTAAAAGGAACAAGCAAGAAGAATCTGTAGCTGTTAGAAGTGATAGATCAAGAATCTACCTGCAAAGAAGGAATTTTGAAAAGATAGACTATATACTTCCATTTGCAAATATCACTAAATTAATAAAAACAGAGATAAGATCTGGTTATGGATAAAACCTTATGTAATAAACGGGTCATTAAGTTATAGAAATAACAAAATTTAAAATGTAACAGTTTATATGGGAAAATTTAGTTTCCATAAAAAATTACTGCATGCAAAGTCATTTAACAATTATTTTAAACTTAGTGATATTGTTAGTACTAGCCATTTTTAAAAAATTGCTAATGGATTCACAAGTGACTTAGATTTCCTAAATAGATCTTAGAAAGGCTACACTGCCCATAAGTATTTTGAAACTCAACTGAACTTTTCAAAATGTATAAAGACCAAAGAGCTTTATTCAATATATTGCAGTTCAATGGCCTATTCTTATTCATGTTTCCTGTGCCACCATCACCTTCAGCCATATTGCTTTGTGGTTTTCTCCCTGTCCCCAATCACTACCCTCAACCAAACCTTTTTTCTGCTTTCACTCCTTCTTTCCTCCTCCCTTCTCACAATTTCCTTCATTGAGCTTGCTTTAAGCCTTTTCTTTACCCTTGGCTTTTGCAATCCAACTTTGAATTTTCCAACAATCTAACCATAGCATCAAAAACCACATTCCAGAATATAAAAATTTTTGTTTGGAATGTGTAAATAACAACAACTTACTTTTTCTAATCACAATGTACTTCTATACATCACTAACATATGACCTTTATATCATCAAGATTCAAATTCCTTGTACACAGAATAAATGTAAATCTGGAAGGAATTTCACAAGTTCAACTAGTCTAAACCACTCTCAAGTGGTATAGCAACTCTAAACAAGTGTGTATTATATGAAGATACATATGTGAATCTACAGACACACACTTTCTATCCTGTATTTTCATTGTGCATTTTAGAATGTTAAACAGAATAATATTAAATCATTTTGTGTTTATTCTTTTTTTACCTAACCTTTAGTAACATCCAGGTGAGACAAAATCTACCTACATTATTACTTTCCTTTCCGTAACTAAATGCCTATAATTTCAAGAAGACTGAAACTCTTTACGACACTAGGACAGTAAAACCTCACTAATTCGGAATAACATAGAACAGGTAGGCCTGTGTGGCTTACTGGAAACGTCTTAATCATACAGAACACTGAAGTAAAAATTCAGTTTTGTTACCTTCAAGCAGTACAGATTACAGATTAAACTAAATGCTACAATAAATAGAGTGTGGTTACCTACATTATATTTCAAAATAGGCCAATATTACATTTAAAATGTACCATAAACATAAAAGTCCTTTAACATACAAGAATTAACTGCTGGACCCAGAGGCTGAAGGCACGTTGAAGGAATCCTTCATTTCTTGAGCCCTTGGTTTGAAAAGCTAGTGATTTTAGACAGGTTTCCCCTTATAAGTATGACCCTGAAAATTCAGAGGAAGAAATTATTTTGAATTTTTTACTCAAAAAAGATCACAAATACTGCATCTCAAATATCATAAATTCAGAATTAGTGAGAGGTTTTACTATAATAGGATGAAGATATAATTCCTCTTCTGCTAAATTATCTAATGTGGGTTTGCCAAATTAAATCAAAGAATGGATGGACTAAAAAAAAAAAAAAAAAACCAACAACATTTAGTTTCACTCCATCCAAAATAAAATATACTCAGTTCAAAGCCTCCTCATGTTGGAAAGATAGTGGAATGGTAAAATATATGCAAAAGCCTACACACACACACACACATACACACACACACACACACACACACACACACACACACAAATACATATCTTCCAAAGGCTATTTAATAAGACGCCAGATGTAAAGAAATTTTACGGCTTTATCTCAATTGGTAAAAATGTCTAATTATTAAAACCAAATGAGATTTAACATAGAAAATACATTGTGTTCATATGATTCTGCCAGACTTAATTAAACATTTCAAGTATCATTCCACTTTATATAAATGTATTGATGCCTAGTTATAAGGTTTTACCTTTGAATTTAGCATTTTGTCTCCTCCCTTGAGTAGGAGATTAAATATAGGCATAAATCCCACAATAGAGACATAGCATCAAGGAAGGAGATTATTTTTAAAGGTTGGTAATTTAGTGAATACAACCACAATGACTAAAAAAGTAGCAGCTGTTATTTAGAGGTCAAAATAATACTAGAAACATTTTGTTCATTGAAACAAACTGTAACTGTACAAAACAACTTCTCAATTATTATAGACAGTGAAAATCTTACAAGTAAAAAAATTGAGATGAGGGTCTTAATCTTTATCAGCAGCAGTGGCAGAATTAAAATATATATTTTATATATATATCTGTATATGGTATTTGATATCAAAAAATTGAGTATAATTCCTATAACTCAGACATTAACCAAAGTTTATCAAAGAAAAAAGGCACTTAATAAGTGGCCAAAAATTTAGTCCAAATTCAAGAACCAGCAAGTGAATTCAGCAAGATTAATTCTGCTCAAGCTGGGCATGGTGGTTCACACCTGTAATCTCAGGGCTTTGGGAGGCTGAGAAAGGCAGATTACTTGAGCCTAGGAGCTCAAGACCAGCCTGGGCAACATGGTAAAACCCTGTCTCTACTAAAAATACAAAAAACTAGCTGGGTGTGGTGGTGAATACCTGCAGTCCCAGCTACTTGGGTGGCTGAGGTGGGAGAATCACCTGAGCCCGGGAGGTCAAGGCTGCAGTGAGCCGTGATCATGCCATTGCACTCCAGCCTAGGTGATAGAGTGAGACCCTGTCTCAAAAAAAAAAAAAAAATCTGTTCAAGCTCATTATTCAGTAAAGTGTTAATGAGCAGCAATAAGACCAAAGCTTAGATCTATATAAAAAATTAAACATTGTCAATAAAAAATTGACAGATGTGAATAATCTTATAATTGGCCATTTAAGTATGAGCACATCTGTATTTTCCCTAAGATGAATATGTTGTGTGTGTGTGTGTGTGTGTGTGTGTGTGTGTGTGTATACCATGTAACACTGAAACTACAGTAGCTACAAAGCCTTGGCAACTATGTAACTAAAATATTATATGTATGTACACATTATATATAATTATATACACATATTTGTATACACAGAGAAAAAAGAGGGTTCAGTATCTAAGGGACTCTAACTTCTAATTTTAATTTTTACTAAAATCTATACTTTTGGAGGGTAATCCTACAGTCATGCATATAACAGAAACTACCACAGAACACAGTGAGTACTTGGAGCAAAATCATTAAAACAAATCAGCAAGGACAAAAGTAGTTGCAATTTACTAAGCACTTGCTGTGTGCTAACTGAACACTGTAAACAATTAAATACCACAGTGGATGAGTGCTTGGGAGTACTGGAACTTAAGAACTTGGACTGGAATCTTGGCTCTTCTCATTTGCTAGTTGTATGACAACTGGACACTGGACCTTCTGGTCCTAGCTTTCCTATCTATAATATAGCAACAATGATATGTAACTCATCAGGTTCCTATGAGAATTAAATAAAATATGAAAAGTGCTCAATCAATATTTACTATTGTTACTTTCTTTAATGAATAAAGCAATCTGATAATATAGGTATTCTTTGTCCATCTTACAGATGAAAAAACTAAGGCTTGAAGGGTTAAGGGGTTAAGTAACCAGCCCAAAATCATAAATGGTAGGACAAATTTAGAGTTTAATCATAAATAAGGCTCATGCATTTTACCACCACCAAATGGTTGAAACCTTAAATCCTTTGTAAAAATAAACTATGCATTTAATAAATCTCAAATATTGTACCTTTAAGATAATTCTGAAAGAGAAAACAAATAATTCAATTCAAAATATTAAAGCTAGTATTCATGGAGGATTTATATGTGCAAAGACTACATATGTGGGTGTGCAAAGACTACACACATATATTTTAATCTTCATAGCAACACAATCAGTTAAGAATTACTATTCTTGTTTTTAAAATAAGAAAACTGAAGCCAAAGAGATTAAGACATTTTGCACAGCCATGTAGTTCTAGTAAATGACAAATTCAGAAATAAAATTGAAGCCTAATTCCAAAGGCTATAATATTTTCATCACACTGCACCATTTCCAAACAGAAAGTAAGAGTAAAATAGACTCAGATGTTTATCAGTGTGCCTTCAGATTTTCAAATCAGTCATTTTAAAATAGATTTTAGGACTATCTCTAGAACAATTCAGATGTTCCTAACTATGTACACTATTAACACATTTTTCTGTGTAAGGTACTGAATAGCTGAAACAAATGTTAATTCTGTTTCGAATATAGTTTATAGGCACATTTTAGAATAATTTACTGTATTTTATATGGAATTTTACTTATTGATTCAGTCTATATACTCTGCTTTGCCTTTAGTCAATATCTGCCTGTATAGGATGAATTCTGACCTTCTCTGAATTTTCTCCAATCACCCAGAAGTTCTCCAACTTTCCATCTTAGAACTTAGTCCTGTTAACAATAAATCCACAGTTCTTACTCTCCTTACACCCTCACAAAAAAGTCACAGTCTAAAAAATTTTAACTATTACCATCCTATAATTTGTACCAACATAATTAAATGTAGGATAGAACATAGCAATCAATACCATAAACTTCTCAGTAGATAAACTAGAAGATAAACTGGGTAAGGTGAAGAGAAAAATATATGTAGAAAAAATACTTATTAAAAGACTGAAAATATGTACAGGTTGAGCATCCCTTATTTGAAATGCTTGGGACCAGAAGTGTTTTGGATTTTGGAGTTTGTTCAAATTTTGGAATATTTGCATATACATTATGAGATATCTTGGGGATGGGACCCAAGTCTAAACATGAAATTCATTGATATTTCATATACAAATTACTCACATAGCCGAAAGATAATTTTATGCAATATTTTAAATAATTTGGTGCATGAAAATTTGTATCCCTGCACTATCAGAAAGCAAAGGTACCTCAGCCACCCAGCCACCCACGTAGACAAACTGTGATTGGCGTCACCATCATGCTGTGCATGGAAAAGCTTTATCATAGCTGAAGAGGGCTGAGAGGATTGCTTTCACTTTAGGACACTGAATAAGCTGTGTGCTGGGACTGCAACCTGTCACAGGAGGTCAGGTGTGGAATTTCCCACTTGGGGGCTTCATGTTGGTGCTCAAAAAGTTTCAGATCTTGGAGCATTTCGAATTTTCAAATTAGGGATGTTCAACATGTCGTAAAAGTAAAAGCAGTGAATGGAGAGATAATTAAATGACAAGACAGTGAGTGTAAATGGTTAGTGGCTGGAGGGAAATTAGTGAGCAGTAAATTAATACTCTTCACAAAAAAATAGGGTACCAATTGATAAATTATTATTTGCATTGTAAATGTATTTGGGGAGTAAAAAGATAAAACTATCTCACTCTATAAAACCCTAAAATCCAATAAAACTGGTCCTACACTGTGATATTACAAAGTAGGTCCTTACAGAGTGGTTACAAGTATACAAAGAAACTTGTTATAAAGTAACCCCATGACAAGCAAACTTGAAGACTAGCTATCATTGAATAACTTGTTTTTTCACTGCAACCTCTGCCTCCCAGGCTCAAGTGATTATTGTTCTCATGCCTCAGCTTCCTGAGTACCTGGGATTACAGGCATGTGCCACCACACTGGGCTTATTATTGTTATCATTATTATTTGTATTTTTAGTAGAGATGAGGTTTCGCCATGTTAGCCAGGCTGGCCTCGAACTCCTGACCTCAAGTGATCCACCCCCTCAGCCTTCCAAAGTGCTGCAATTACAGGCATGTGCCACTGCGCCCAGCCTCACTGAATAATTTCTATAGCCAATCATTATGTGACATTGGGAAAAGTTTGCTTTAAATATGTAACCTTGGTTTTCATTTAACGTTTCATTTAAAAATCTGGAAAGGGTAAAGATACTTGTCCATGAGATACTAACATGGAGCTGAAAAGGTTTTAAACTGTTTCATGAAATGTGAATATTTAACCTCAGTTAAACTATTGGGAAAACTTCACTTTCATATATTTGGGGGAAGAAAGAAACTGAAAAAATCTGTTCTAATTGTGACATAGTAGAAATCATAAAAGATCAGACATTCTGGCAAATAACAATTTCATTGCATACCCCAAATATTATTCCTTATATATGTATCTTTTCTTTTTGGAATCAGCTGTCTTAGGTTGAAAATTCCTTAAATATTTATGGCATTGTTAGAGCACTCAGTAAATAAAGTAATCACAAATTTTACTGTGGTTAATTGCATTAGATTTAAAACACTATTTTTATTTCTGCAGAGTATATCTTAAGTTGTGCTCTATTTACACCTTTACTAAAGATGAGTTTTGTCTATTTTGTTTATGTTTTTGTTTTGAGTGGCAAACTGACAGACTGAAAGAGGCAAATAAAAATAAAGTGGATTATACTATATTGCCTATGAAATTTTTTTAAATTAGACTATGACAATTTTGCAGCAAAAAAAAGAAAAGGATCCAAACATTAATTAGATTAATTTGTCTACATGGAAAGCATGTTTTTAAAACTTCCTATTCTATTTTGCAGGACCTATCTTAGGCATTTAAGAAAATGGGAGTTTTAAGTTGTGCTAGCTAAGGAAGAACACTGGTTCAAAGGCCAGGATACAAGGCAAAAATTTTATATAAATTTATAAATTCCTTGTATTAAATTCTTTCCTGATCTTAGCTGACCCATAATTTGTGGTTTACAAGAAAATAAGCATGCTTTAAGAATATATTTAATTAACCCAGAACTCTGAGATCTCAAAGGACAACACCGAGCTAGATTCCTACTTCCTCACAGACTAGGATAGCCCTCTGACCATCACCAGGGACTAGAGAAAGTCTTCATGATTCGTGCTTTGCTTGCACTTATCTCTACTTAACCCACAACCATCAAATATTTGTATATTCATTTGTTGTTTATATAAACTTAATTAATAAACAGTGGAAAAGTGTAATGGCAGTCTTATTATCATCATTTAATATACTGAATTTAGTAATATTGTTTATCCTAAAGCATATAAACAGCATTCAAAAAAGAATTGTAAAAGGCCAGATCACAGTCATTAAAGAGCAAATAATAAAGGATGTAAGACAGAAAGCAATAATTATTTTTTCCACCTTCCCTTAACTTTTTGAAATTTGAAAAGAAATGGACAAGGAAAAGATATATTGTAAAATATCTCCTTTATGAAAGCTAACGACAACAAAAAAACAAGAAGCATGACAGTCACTGACAAACGGTATCACTTTCAGAATGTTCTTTCTCCTCAGGCTACATCATGATAGAAGCAAAGTAGAAGAATCAGGTTTGTGCATTTTCCCAGAGACAAAATTCAAATGAGTGGAAGAAATTGGGAAAGTATCCCACCTAGGTGATAAGGAAGACCAAATACCTTTGTGCTTGTCCCGTTTATGCTTTAGCTGTGCTGGATGGGATCTGAGTCTGGCTAGAGCCTGTTCTCGATGGTTCATAAAAATAGGACCAGCAAATACAAGGGGGCCTGAGGAGAAACATTTTGTATGTGCATAGAAAAACTCACAAAATGAAAACACTATAATGAACAAAAAATAATTCAAACTAAAAAGCATAAAAATTTATTCTTAACGGTTTTGGACATTATACTTTTCTTCCAATTTCCCCACTCCAGCCCCCCACCCCCACCCATAACCTAATCACCATTTCACATAAAAGTTAATATCTTAAATATAATTTATAAAGTACAAAACCCGTCTTGTATACTCATAAAATTATTGTGTAGTTACTAATAGTCTCAAATAGATAATCAAGAAGTTCAATTTAAATCAATCAAATTATCTTACAAATACTTTTTTAATATCATATATATTCAAAGTCAGTAAACCATGTATTCGTTGAAGACAGATATCTTTTCCATTGAAACATAAAAACTAATTTTTAAATTAACCATTAAGTTTTAACAAGCTCTTCCAGGTTTAATATTTGTATTAATCTTGCTACAAAACCAAAATAAAAATGTTACCGAGTTTACTACAAATCATAAATAGAGGTTAAGAAAACCAGATGATCAAAAACAAAACAAAAATGTCTATATTCTGCATATAGATATATGTATACACACAGAGAGAGAGAGAGAACGAGAGAGAGAGAGAGAGAGAAAGGAGCTTGGGCTTTATATTGATGGTAAAGGGGGCACCTAACCCAAATAACATTTTGGAAACATCTTTCATTAAATCATTTCTTCTAAAGTGCCACTATGTACATATATATATACATATATAAATACATACCCACACAGATTATAGCTCTTTCCACTTATATGGTATTTAAGGAAAAAATATACAGCCAAATTTATTTTAATAAAATAAAATAAATCATTTTTCCCATTAACATTTATTTACCTTGAAAAGAAAAATAAATTTTAGTTACAACTTAAAATTTTAGGTTTTTTTCTTATACAGCAGAACTATAGTTTCCTTGAGTTTTAACAACATCAAAAATGTCTTCAAATTTGAAAACACTCTAAATTTGACAGGTTACCATTAACTGAAACAGGAATTATGACACTATATAAGCACTGAACATTTTTATTTAAAACAAGTTTTTTCATGATTCTCTATTGATCTTCAGTTTAATTTTTCTAATGATGGGACAAATTGAGCCTACTGCCCTCTAATAAAATTTCATAAATGTCAAATTAAATATCAAAGTACCCTTCATTAAATGTACAAGTGGGTAAAGGAACCATATTTCAATTATGTTTCTAGATATAAACAAAAATGCAAATACCTCAAATTGTATGAAAAACCATGAATAACATATTCTATGACTACTACAGATAGAAACATGCTAATTTAATGTTAACAGAAGAATAAGTTCTCAATAATGCAGTACCAATTATTTTCTCAGGCTAAGGTTATGTAAACTGAGTTCCATTTCTAAAATGTAATAAAATTGATATTTCAAATATGAACAAATATGAACAAAATGCCTTATTTTCTTAACATGCATGATTTCTCAATTGTTACAAAGCAGATATATAAATTACTATAAAAAGTATTTTCCAACTATATAAAAAAGTTATAGATATTAAGGTAATAATATTGTTATATTACCATTTTCTGATTTCTATGGTCTGCCTACAATATTGTTTCTCCTCATGAAAATACATCACACCCACACCCGTTTAATGTCTTGCTAAATTCAATCTTTTTAGAATCTTTTGATTTATAAATCAAGAAGGCACGGGGGCAATCATGTCTAAAAATTAAAGCAATTGGGCTCGAAAATACTATTGTATCCCATGGGCTAAAATAATGTTTCTTTAAATATAGTTGAGTCACTAATTTATTCACCAAATTTTCTGATTATCTTTTATTTAGCAGACACTAGGTGAAATGAATATAATGACAAAGATACAGGTCTCACTGGAATTCAGTCCACTAGGGAAAAAAACAGAAATAAAAACACAAACTATGAAATATTACAATAAATGCTATAAAAGAAATCTATACACATTATGTCCTGAAGTAAGAAAAGATACTAAATAAACTCAGGACAATCAGCAAGGTTTCAAAGAATGACAAAAAGTTTAACAAGAGAAAAGGAAAGGAAGAGAGGGCATTCCAGTTAAAAGGAATAGGATATAAATTAGGATTTTATAAAAGCATAAAGATATTAAACAATATTGTATAGTCATTAAAAATACATGTAGCTGACTTTTACAGAGTATATGTGATGGAGCAAAAGTCTTGGGAAATTTGCTTGGAGAGGTATGCAAAAAAACAGATAATTAAAACCTTTTTATACCACAAAACTTCATTCTAGAGATGATAAGTCCCTAACCTGCTTTCAATTAGTCAACAAAAATATACTACAAATCATGGTACTAACAGGTACCATGTGAAGTTCTGGGAACCCTTGATAAACAAGATACAATCTCTGCTTCAAGAAGCTCACATTCTAATGAGGGGAGGGAGGGTTTACACACAACTAAACAAGAAATTATGACAGTATGCTATAACAAAAGGAGGCACACAAACTAGAGGAGAAGCTAACAAAACTTGAGGGTGGGAAGGTAGACAGTGTAGAGATAAAAGAAACCACCACATAAGATGAGGTCAAATAAAGGAGGTAACAAGTAGCATAAAGGTTCAGAGGTAGGGGAAAAAAAGGAAGGGCAAGGGAAAAGAAATGAGAATAGAGAGAGATGAGGCTGTAGAGATAAAAGTATATCCTTCATCCTAAGGACTATGAATAGCCTTTTGGTTTTAAACAGAGAAGTGCTACTGATCTGATCTGTATTGCAGAATGAATATTCTGGAAAGAAGGTGGCTAATGGCTTAGAAGATAAGACTGGAGGTAAGGCCAGTTAAAAGGCTTTTTGCTGTCAGATAGGCAAAGAAAAGAAGCCTCAGCTAAGGAAACAGTAAGATTCTGAAAAGTAGATATTAAAAAGCTATTAAAGAATTAAGAAGGCTGTATAAATAGAACTTGGTGATTTATTTCTTTCATTGGGAGAGGAGTGAGTAAAATAGGGGTATGAGATAACCAGGTTTAGATAGAAGCTACACTCATGTGTAGACAATGGGTAATTCAGAGTTCATCTGTAGGCAGGTAGGCAGAAAAAGCATGGAATAAGTGGCAGTGTTAAATAGTACAAGCCTTTCAGAAAGCTCTTGGTGATATATTTCAAGATCATAAAAATTATTATCCTTTGATCTAGTAACTGCACCCTAGGAATCTATCCTAAAGAAAACTCTAAAATATTTTTAAAGGATTTCACCTCAAAGGTGTTTACTACAACTTTATTCATTATAGCAACATTTTAAAAATACCCAAATGAAAGTAATTAAAAACTATAATACATCTACTAAATGGAATAATACGCAGCCATTAAAATGAGATTTATGAAATAATTTTACACAGAATATGATTTTGTGTTATTTAAATTAACAATGAGATAACATTGTTCACCACTGTTTTCCAAGAATTAAAAAGAATAACTAAACCCAGGTGTGGTGGCACATGCCTGTACAGTCCTAGCTACTCGGGAGGCTGAGGCAGGAGGGTCACTTGGGCCCAGTTGTTCGAGGCCAGCCTGGGCAACATAGCAAGATCCTGCCTCTACAAAAAATAAATAAATAAATAAATAAATAAAAGAATAATGAATACAGGTGATGCTAGAGGAAAACACTACTCTTATACATTAGTCTAGGG
Organism: Homo sapiens; assembly: GCF_000001405.40. Lineage (NCBI taxonomy): Eukaryota > Metazoa > Chordata > Mammalia > Primates > Hominidae > Homo > Homo sapiens. Next base: position 77,236,959 of record NC_000013.11, read on the forward strand.
AGTATAAACAAATTCCTATAACATTTTTAAAACAATGTGAATTATCTGTTAAAATTTAAGACAGATATATACTCTCTGCCCCACACATTCTATTTTGGGAAAGCTCTACTATACAAACACTAATATGTAGCTCTAAGTTTAAGAATATTTATTACAGTAAAACCCACAAAAACTTACAATAACCTGAATGCCCATCAATAAATAATGGTTATATAAACTATGGTATAGCCATATTATGATATTAGGTAGTTACTGTATAGAATGTGGTAGATCCACATTTACTGACCTACAGTGTGTTCTTCTTGTATTGTAAAATGAGAAAAAGATGTTGCAAATGTATATACAGAATACTACTTTTGTAAATAAACATATGTCTACACTTTCACATATGTGTAAGTCTCTGTACATGATTATATTTTAATAGAGTAAGATATTAGACTATTAACATTTACTTTGAGGGGGGGATGGAAATGGGAAGGTAGGGGTACAATACAAGCAAAACATAAAAATATATGTATTATAACACTAAGCAAAAATGTAAAACAAAATTCAGTCAATGATATAACTAGAAATAAGTAAAACTTGATTAGAAGATGACAACGAAATAAAAACAATAATTGAATTAAGGAATAGGTTTATGCAAAACCTTGACCTAAATTCCTATATTACTTTAATATGGTATTTGCAATAAAGCACAAAAAAATTTCATGATATAATATTAAAGGGAATACAAACAGGACACCAATATCTATCACAGTATGAAATTATATGAAATAAGTAAAAAAGTGTGAGAAGTTACACCAAAATTCTACTAATGGTTCTCTTTGTATAAAGGGTTATGCTGATCTATTTTTTCTTACTTATACTCTCTAAATTCTTCATATAATACTTTAATTTAAAAAGAGACTTTTATGTGTCACTGGAATATCAGCTAATATTGGATTTGATGCGTCAAATCAAGAAAACCATAATGGTTTTAAGGGCTTAAAAAGTAATAGCAACATGCCGGACGCGGTGGCTCACGCCTGTAATCCCAGCACTTTGGGAGGCCAAGGCAGGCGGATTACAAGGTCAGGAGATTGAGGCTATCCTGGCTAACAAAGTGAAACCCCATCTCTAGTAAAAATACAAAAAATTAGCCCGGTGTGGTGGTGAACGCCTGCAGTCCCAGCTACTCGGGAGGCTGAGGCAGAAGAGTGGTGTGAACCCAGGAGGCGGAGCTTGCAGTGAGCCGAGATAGCACCACTGCACTCCAGCCTGGGCGACAGAGCGAGACTCCGTCTCAAAAAAAAAAAAAAAAAAAAAAAAAGAAATATGCCTGGACACCTATAAAATGGGACTCTCCCATGTAAGCCAGGACATGGGTTTAGCCCATCTACAGCTCACAATTATGAAACTTGGATACTTAGAAGAAAGAAGAAAAAGCTAACATTATTGAAGTTTAATTTTCCTTACGAAACAGAGTGCTGAAAAGGAATATAAGGATAAAATCATTGATATGATCATCCACTAGTTCTTCTGATGACTTCAAGAGCCCTACTTAAGAATTTCACTGAATAAGCACTTCACTTGCACAGTTAAATTAATACATCAATCAACCCAATATAATCTAAAAAAGACAAGTTATCACAAACCATTGAACTAAAATCTATAAATGAATACTATTAATACCTAAAAAGATAAATTAAAAAAATTAACTAGACTATTAATAACACAAAGATTTAAAATTAAAAAGTTCCAAATGTATGAAGAAGCAGTAATATCATTGCTTTCTTGGGTTTCAATAACACATTCCATTATAAGAGACCTGGTGTCATAAAACAGTAACTAAATTACGTCAATAGGCCTGAAGCTGTCTGAGCAAGGCTTTAGTACAAGAACTAGGGCCCAGGCCGAGCGCAGTGGCTCACACCTGTACTCCCAGCACTTTGGGAGGCTGATCACCTGAGGTCAGAAGTTTGAGACCAGCCTGGCCAACATGGTGAAACCCCATCTCTAACAAAAATGCAAAATTAGCCAGGTGTGGTGGTGCATGCCTATAATCCCAGCTACTCGGGAGGCCGAGGCAGGAGAATCGCTTGAAACCGAGAGGCGGAGGTTGCAGTGAGCCGAGATCGCACCACTGCACTCCAGCCTGGGTAACAGAGTGGGACTGTGACTCAAAAAAAAAGAACTAGAGCCCAGAGTTCTGATCATCTATGAAAAACTTAGTTCAGACTTGGTAAATAAGATGAGACAGAAAAGTCAAGTAAAATAATCTAACATAACCTAATTCTTAAATTCTGAAATGTTAACACAGGTAAAAGCCAATTACTAGTAAGTATAATTATTAACATACTACTAAATTTTTAGTTTCTAAAAAGTATCAACAGGCCAAAGAAATAAAAGATCTGTATGTATGGCAGCCGGAACACTAACATTTTATTTGATGTTTCTATTCCTCATGGGAGCAAAGCCACTACAATCTTTTCTAGCACAGTGCCAGAGAAGAGCCTTAGAACACTGTGCAAGTGACTCAGATCTATTTCCAAGACCCTTGACCCATAAATTCTGATTCATTAGGCCCAGGTGATTCTGATGCAGAAGGTCATTGGATCAAACCGCAAAGTGCAAACAACTGACCTAGCACACTAAGTCTCACACTTTGGGACCATCAGAATCACCTGGAACGCTATTAAAGCACAGTTTACTGGCTGTACTCCCCCAGTTTTTTGTTTCAGTAGAGATCTGAAGTGGGGCCTGAGAACTGGTACTTCTAACAAGTGCCCAAGTGATGCTGGTCCCTTTGAGACCACCTTGAGAACCATGGCCAGAAAGTAATGAAAAGCACAGCACCTGAAAGAGAGTCCTCCATCCAATTAAAATAAAAATATTTTTTAAAAAGCAAAGGTAAGCAAAGTATGGATGCCTTAAACCTAATCAGTATTTTTTTAAAATGGCTTCAGTTGTAAAACATAACTTTTACTCTATTTATACACTAATATGCTTATTGGAGAATATTTAGGAAACAAATTGTAAAGAAGAAAATAAAAAATATCTATAAACTCACCTGTCAGGAAAAAGCATTGTTAATATTTTGGTATTTATCTTTCTTGTTTTATCTCTATGGAAGTGTAAGTATATCATATTCATCTAATTTTGTTTTCTTATAAAAATTTGTTTTTAAATAAAAATTGCTTAATGGAGTGCTAAGAATAATATAAAGATAAAATCATAAAAGTGTCATATCAGAATAGATTTTTAATTACTTAATACAGTATAAGGATTTCCAAAGTCACTGAATGACTCTGAAGTTTGATTTTTTAAAAAATGAATACATAGTTAGAATTCTTGTCCAAATGCAAAAATATTCATTTAAAATAAAATAGGTTGGGCACAGTGCCTCACACCTATAATCCCAACACTTTGGGAGGCTGAGGCAGGTGGATCATTTGACGTCAGGAGTTTGAAACCAGCCTGGCCAACATGGTGAAACCTCGCCTCTACTAAAAATACAAAAATTAGCCAGGCGTGGTGGCGGGCACCTGTAGTCCCAGCTACTCAAGAGGCTGATGTAGGAGAATCGCTTGAACCTGGGAGGGAGAGGTTGCAGTGGGCCAAGATTGTGCAGCTGCACTCCAGCCTGGGCAACAGAGTGAGACTTCATCTCAAAATAAATAAATAAATAAACAAACAAACAAAACATACAAGCAGGCATCACTTTGCATAGTGCTGTGTTAACTGAAACACAGAAATACGGGAACTCTGTCCTCCTTTCGCATGATTCTAGGTAACTGTGGTGACTGTGAAAGGGGAGGACATGGTTCCAATGTGCACACATTTCTGTTAATTTTAGTGCCATGGAAAGCAAGGACTGTGATAATTGAGGTTCATACTGAAGATTCCACTCAAGAAAAGATATTCACTATATATTGTTTTACCAAACATGAAGGAGGGTGATCTAAGAAAGAGTTCTACCAAAAAATAAGGACAAGATAAAATTTATGTACACCAATAATCTGAACAAAGTGTTTCTACTGATGTTCTATATATTTAGGACTGCAGATGAAACCTATTTGTCACAAAATATACACTAAGTGCCTAGAACCTCAATCTATCTTTGGAAAGTCAGATACAACAACATAATTTCTTTAAATATTTAGCTAGTGGAGGATTTTTTTTTTAACTTTAAAGGGTTAATGTTTACAATTATGTTTCACAGGTTTATGTCAAATTTAAAAATAAATGGCAAAAGAATATTCTGCAATCACCAAGTTATGTCAAGTTATCAATGCACGATTCAATGTTCCTTTATTTCCTATATGCACAAATATACTATACCTAGAGAAGAATAGCTTTTTTAGAGGGAAGAGAAAAAGAGTAACAAGATACACCGCATTAGGCAAGTAATTAAATGTGAATAATTAAGTGTAAGGATGTGCTATACTGTAGTTTAAATGTAAGAAATAGCTGCATTTTGTAGGTTCATTCATGTCGCTCAACCTAATATTTCTAAAGAAAGAAGAAACAGGTAGCAAACAGATAGAATGGTAACTAATCTGAAAAAATTATATCAACATAAAAAATTATTAATTACCACATCAGAAACTTAATTCTATCCTGTTTTGTAAGAAATATTTAACATGCAATTTTCCCATATACTTATATAATGTAAATACTGACAGTATCTATATTAATCTCATTAAAATATCCTTTAAAGGACATTATGCAAGCAAAGCCAAACAATAGTAAATATTCACCTTATCAATCAACATCACTTATCAGATGCTATGAAGAACACTCTTCATGTGCCAAGTATATGTTTTACAATTTAAGTTTAGTAAAACTAGAATTCACCATGTGTATTATACATTTTACTACTTATTCCATATATTAACAAAAAGAATAGCTAGAAAAAAATATAATGATGGTTAAATGGGTAAAAGGTTTATTTCATGCATCAAATATCATGCCATTTCTAATAAGCATTTAAAATATGCAATATCAGTAAACATTTCTAATCAAAATTTTGCCTATTGGAGGAATAAAATCATAGACTTCCATAACAATTTGTCTTAATCCTACAAAAAAAAAATTTACTGAGCAAGGAAATCTTTAGTAATACATATATTTATCTTTGCGTATTCAAATACCAATTATAACCACAGTTAAATTTTTTTTGTTTGTTTTCTTTTGAGATGGAGTCTCACTCTGTCGCCAGGCTGGAGTGCAGTGGTGCGATCATGGCTCACTGCAAGCTCCACCTGCCAGGTTCAAGTGATTCTCCTGCCTCAGTCTCCTGAGTAGCTGGGACTACAGGCGCACACCACCACGCCCAGCTAATTTTTTTGTACTTTTAGTAGTGATGGGGTTTCACCATGTTGGCCAGGATGGTCTTGATCTCTTGATCTTGTGATCTGCCTGCCTCAGCTTCCCAAAGTGCTGGGATTACAGGCGTGAGCCACCGTGCCTGGCCAGTTAAATGTATTTTTAAGCTAAGAAACTTTTAAGCTCATAAACAATGAGGAAAAGATAAACAATAGACCTATCTTTGCAAATGAAACCTGCAGACCTGCCATCTTACTCTTCCTGTAAATAACTAGAATGAGGTTTTTCCAAAAAAGGACACATGAAAGCATAGTTATGTGCTGAACTGGAGGGCAGCATAGCAGGACTATGTCCAAATGATAATGAGCATAAATGAGTAAGAAAATAGAAATGAAAAAGACTAAATTGAATTTTGTTCCACGGTCAAATAGATGAGTCCAAAGTCCGGGTGAAGGACAAGTTGTGAGAATATCTATTTTTAAAAAGTTGCCATTTCTAATAGTTATTGATAGTAGGCAGATGGCACAGTTCTTAATATGGCTGACTTATGCCATAAACACCCTGCTGAATTAAAAGTATGTTATTAGCACAATTATAAATACCTAAACGTATGTTATTAGAAGAAGCATGAATACCCTGAATATTTTCCCATTATATGAGTTATCAGAATATTGCTAATTTTAATTTTGATGATTTCTTACCAAATTAGTTTATTGTGTGAACTTTTCAGTGGTTTCAGGATAGGGTAGGAAAGTGGATTTTCATGTACTTTTTCTCTGTAGCTACATCTTACCTCTTCCTTCCTCTAATCTGTGCCTTCTGATTACACGTTGCCGTTTTTCTTCTTGTCGTAACTGAAGGTGTTCTTCAATGTTAACCCCGGGCACTGGGACAGCTAGATGATTGGCCAAAAACAACAACAACAACAACATATATGTTATATAATAGCTATGACAGAACTACATAAAATTCAAGAAAGTAAAAGCTAGCAAAAACATTGTCTAAAACACACAATATTTTTACTTTAATAATTCTTAGCCAAAAAGGGAAAAAGAATCTCATTCTGGCTAGGCATGGTGGCCCACACCTGTAATCCCAGCACTTTGGGAGGCCAAGGTGGGCAGATCACCTGAGGTCAGGAGTTCAAGACCAGCCTGGCCAACATGGTGAAACCCCGTCTCTACTAAAAATACAAAAATTAGCCAGGTGTGGTAGCGGGCACCTGTAATTCCAGCTACTCGGGAGGCCGAGATGGGACAATCACTTGAACCTAGAAGGCGGAGGTTGCAGTGAGCTGAGATTGAGCTACTGTACTCCAGCCTTGGCAACAGAGCAAGACTCCATCTCAAAAAAAGAAAAAAAAAAAAAAGAATCTCATCCCTTAAACAATGTCATATTGTCAGTTACCGTAAAAGCAGTATTGCATACATTAATTATTATCCTAATTTATTAACATATATCTAAAAGAAATTGTTTAAACTGTCAGACTTACTGAGTTGAGGACAACTCAGTGTAGCATAGTATAATCAATCAAAATTACCTAAAAGAAGATCTAAAGGTATCATTTCTTTCACTGCATCAAGAATTCCTCTTTGTCTTGCCTCTTGACCATCTAACTCTCTTGCACAGGCCTTGCAACATCCACACACAGCACAACCAGATTCTCCGGAACCACAACCACAGATCCTAGGGGGAAATACAAAAAAAAAAAAAAAAGACAACTGAGATATTCCTAATTTGTCTTTAAAACTCTTTTCTATAACTTATTTTCCACATTTTTGAAATTGTTAAATGAGTAAGCAATGAAATCACCTCTTTAGATCACGATTGTTCATTTTAAAGAAAAGATATAAATAGCAGAATAATTAAAAACAAGACTGATTAAACTCCCAATAGGCATAATTGGTATATTTCTACAGAAAATACACACAGATTCGACTATCATCAAAGTCACTACTTTAAAAACAATCCTTTAAAAGTCTTTTTGCAGTTAGTGAAGCACCAGAAGCTTTAGGATTAAGTGACCCAGATGGGTTGGTTGGCTAAAAACAATCAAACAATGTTGCTGTCCAGCAGATAAGTGAAGGCAGGTGTTGGTAGCCTTCAGCAACAGAGCCTAAGCTTGCCAGCTTCATGTAATATGTCTCCTTCCCATTCCCTATTTAATAAATGGTGCTGGGAAAACTGGCTAGACATATGCAGAAAACTGAAACTGGACCCCTTCCTTACACCTTATACAAAAATTAATTCAAGATGGATTAAAGATTTAAACATAAGACCTAAGACTATAAAAACCCTGGAAGAAAACCTAGGTAATACCATTTAGGACACAGGCATGGGCAAAGACTTCATGACTAAAACACCAAAAGCAATGGCAACAAAAGCCAAAATTGACAAATGGGATCTAATTAAACTAAAGAGCTTCTGCACAGCAAAAGAAAGTATCATCAGAGTGAACAGGCAACCTACAGAATGGGAGAAAATTTTTGCAATTTACTCATCTGACAAAGGGCTAATATCCAGAATCTACAAAGAACTTAAACACATTTACAAGAAAACAAACAACCCCATCAAAAAGTGGGCAAAGGATATGAACAGACACTTCTTACAAGAAGACATTTATTTATGCAGCAGAACTTAAATTTACAAGAAAACAAACCACCCCATCAAAAAGTGGGCGAAGGATAAGAACAGACACTTCTCAAACGAAGACATTTATGCAGCCAACAAACGAAAAAAAGCTCACCATCACTGGTCATTAGAGAAATGCAAATCAAAACCACAATGAGAAAACATGTCACGCCAGTTACAATGGTGATCATTAAAAAGTCAGGACACAACAGATTCTGGAGAGGATGTGGAGAAATAGGAACGCTTTTACACTGTTGGTGGGAGTGTAAATTAGTTCAACCATTGTGGAAGGCAGTGTGGTAATTCCTCAAGGATCTAGAATCAGAAATACCATTTGACCCAGCAGTCCCATTACTAGGTATATACCCAGAGGATTATAAATCATCCTACTACAAAGACACATGTACATGTACGTTTATTTCATCATTATTCACAATAGCAAAGACTTGGAACCAACCCAAATGCTCATCAATGATAGGTTGGATAAAGAAAATGTGGCACATATTCACTATGGAATACTATGCAGCCATAAAAAAGAATGAGTTCGTGTTCTTTGCAGGGACATGAATGAAGGCTGGAAACCATCATTCTCAGCAAACTAACCCAGGAACAGAAAACCAAACACTGCATGTTCTCACTCATAAGTGGGAGTTGAACAATGAGAACACATGGACACAGGAAAGGGAACATCACATACTGGGGCCTGTTGGGGGGTGGGGGCTAGGGGAGGGATAGCATTAGGAGAAATACCTAATGACCGGTTGACAGGTACAGCAAACCACCATGGCATGTGTATACCTATGTAACAAACCTGCACGTTCTGCACATGTATCCCAGAACGTAAAGTAACACACACACACACACACACACACACACACACACACACAAAGGAAATAAAAACATTCACACATTGGAAAGGAAAAAATAATACATATATATGTATATATATATGTATACACACACACACACATATATATACACACACACAAACACATATATGTCTCCTTCCCCCTCTCTTCTTTACATGCCTTCACCTCCCATTCTCTCCTTTCACAGAGTCCAATTACCTGTTCTTTTTCTCCTTCAGCCCTTTCATATCGATTGTGAACCATATGGGGTATATGTTGACAAAGACACTCCCAGAAACTGACTTGGGGTCAGGGAAAGTAACTTCTTAGTCACATATTTTGTAGAAGGTATAGCTTTAATGTAGTTCATCAGATCAGTTCTTGAAACTTTTGACAGCCTTGTTGAACCCCAGGTTATACAGATTTCAGAAGGTACAAAAGGAAGAACATATCTGGCAGCAGTTTAAAAGACATAGCTAGACACCCTGTGAAATGTGTCACTTTTAAAAGCAAGCATTATAAACAATTTGGAAGATCACTTACTACACAGTAAAAACTGTGACACAGTAATATGCCTGACTGACACTATTTTTAAAATAGTGTTTATGACACCAATTCTCAAAATTTTCCAAAAAACTGAAGAGGAGAGAACAAGAATTCATTCTTTGAGGTCAGGATTACCCCAATACCAATGTCAGACAAAAGATGAAGAAAAAGAAGAAGAAAGAAGAGAAGAAAGAAGAAGAAGGAAGAAGGAAAAGAAGGAGAAGGAGGAGAAGGAGGAAAAGAAGGAGAAGGAGGAGGAGGAGGAGCAGGAGGAGAAGGAGAAGGAGGAAAAGAAGGAGAAGGAGGAAGAGGAGGAGGAGAAGAAAGAAGAAGGAGAAGGAGAAAGAGAAGAAAGGGAGGAGGGAGAGGGGCAGGGGGAGGCAAAAAAAAAAACCCCTACAGACCAATATCCCTTATGAATAATGATGTGAAAATCCTCAACAAAATACTAACAAAACAAATTCAGCAGGATATTAAAAGAATTATACACCATAACGAAGTGGGATTTACTCCTGGAATGCAACAAATGAAAATCAATCCATGTAATGTAACACATTAACAGAATGAAAGAAAAGAAACACATGATCATCTCAATTGATGTACAAAAAGCATTTGACAAAATTCAATGCCCTTTCATAATAAAAACAGTAGACAAACTAGGAATAGAAGGAAATGATCTCAACATAAAAACCACATATGAAAAACACACAGTGAACATCATAATGGTGAGAGACTGAAAGCTTTTCCTCGTAATATCAGGAAGAAGACAAGGATGCTCACTTTGACCAATCCTAAACAGCACTAGAAGTTCTAGCCAGGGCAATTGGACAGGAAAAGAAATAAAGGTCATCCAAAGCAGAAAGGAAGAAGTAAAATTATCTATGTTCACAGATAATACAATCTCATAAGTAGAAAACCCTAAAGATTGCACTCAAAAAAACCAATAGAGAAAATGAATTCAGCAAAGTAGGAAGATACAAAGTCAACACACAAAAATCAGTTGTATTTCTAGACACTAACAATGAACAATATGAAAAGGAAATTACAGAAACAATTCCATAGCATCAAAAAGAATACACTTAGTAATTAACCAATGAGGTGAAATGAGAACTACAAAACATTGCTGAAAGAAATTAAAGATGACATAAGTAGAAACACATCTATGTTCATGGATTAGAAGACTTAATGTTTTTAAGATGTTCATACTACCCAAAGCAATCTACAGATTCATTGTAATCCCTATCAAAATCCCAATGATGGTTTTTACAAAATAGAAAAACCTATCCTAAAATTCATAGAAAATCTCTAGGGACCTCAAATAGCCAAACAATCTTGAAAAAGAAGAACAAAGTACTCGGTTTTGACTTCAAAACTTACTACAAATCTACAGTAATCAAAACAATGTGGTGTGGCATAAAGACAGTCATACAGACCAATGGGATAGAATAGACAGCTGAGAAATCTTCCTTCACATATATGGTCAGATGATTTTTGACAAAGGAGCCAAGATGGTTCAATAGAGAAAGGATAATCATTTCAATAAACATTGCTGGGAAAACTTGATCTGGACACTTCTCTAGCAGCATATACAAAAATTAACTCAAAATGAATCAAAGACCTAAATGTAAGACCTAAAACTATTACAAAAAAAAACAAAAAACTCTTAGAAGAAAAGGAACATCACACACCGGGGCCTGTTGTGGGGTGGGGGAAGCGGGGAGGGATAGCATTAGGAGATATACCTAATGTTAAATAACGAGTTAATGGGTGCAGCACACCAACATGGCACATGTATACATATGTAACTAACCTGCACGTTGCGCACATGTACCCTAAAACTTAAAGTATAATCAAAAAAAAAAAAAGAAGAAGAAAAGATAACAGTAACCCTTCACAACACTAGATTGGGAAATAATTTCTTGGATATGATACCAAAGGCACAGGCGACAATAACCAAAAAACAATAGACAACTGGACTTCATGAAAATTTTAAAAATTTTCTGCTTGAAAAGACAACATCAACAGAGTAAAAACACAACCCACAGACAGAACTTTTTATTTTCAAATCATATATCTGATAAGGAATTAATATTCAAACTATATAGAGAATTCCTAAAACTCATCAACAACAACAAAAGAAACTGACAACCTGATTCAAAAGTGAGCAAAGGACTTGAATAGCATTTCTCCAAAGATCTACAAATGGCCAAAAAGTATATGGAAAGATGCTGAACATCACTAATCACTGGAGAAATTCAAATCAAAACTATAATGAGATACTATCTCACACCCATTAGGATGCCACTACCAAAATAACAGATCATAAGTGTTAAGAAGGATGTGGAGAAACTGGAACATCTGTACACTATTGGTGGGAATGTAAAATGGTTGGCCGCTGTGAAAAATAGTATGGCAGTTCCTCAAAAGATTAAAAATAAAATTACCATATAGTCCAACAATTCCACTTCTGGGTATATGCCCAAAAGAACTGAAAACAGGGTCTCAAAGAGCTCCTTGTACACTCATCTTCACAGCGCATTACTCACAATAGTTACAATGTGGAAGCAACCAAAGTGTTCATCAGTGAGTGAATGGATAAGCAAAATGTGGTAATATACATACAATAGAATATTATTCAGCCTCAAAAAGCAAAGATGTTCCGACATATGTGACAACCTGGATGAACTGAGGATATTATGCTAAGTGAAATAAGCCAGTCACAAAAAAGACAAATACTCTGATTCTCTTTATATGAGAGGTACCTAGAGTAGTCAATCAGACACAGAAAGAAAACAAGAATAGTGGATGCCAGAGGCAGGGGAGAGGGAAGAATGAGGAGTCATTGTTTAACAGTTACAGAGTCTCAGTTTTACAAGATGAAAAGTTATGGAGATGCATGGTGGTAATAGTTGCACAACATTATGAATGGATTTAATACCACAGAACTGTCTACTTAAAAATGGTTAAGCTGGTCAATTTTATATGTACTTTATCATAATAAGATATGTAGTCACAATTTTATAATAATTGAAGTCAGCTTAATAGTCCTTAATATTCTGATATATTCAGTTTGCTTCATTCATAAAGCAATTATTATACTTGGTTAGTATTGTCCATGTAAGTCTATGAATAATTATTATAAATTATGTAAGTCTCTGGAGGAAAAAACGAAGAATAATTAATTTCAAAAGGGACCAGATAATTTATAGATTTTGTTCACGATATATACTGGCTGCTTAAGCTCAGAGAGTGGGGATATTAAATTTTATTTTTATTATATATTTTTTGAGTTAGGGGTGTTGCTATGCTGCTGAAGCTGGTTTCAAACTCCTGGCCTCAAGTGATCCTCTGGCCTCAGCCTCCCAAAGTGCTGGGATTACAGACATGGGCCACTACACCCAGCTAACACTGAATTTTAATGGAAATAGCGTTGGAGAGATCCAGGAGAATAAATTTCAATTCCAACATTGTTAAAAAATAATCAGAGTCTTTCTGCATCCAAATTAAATTTAAAAATAAAGAAGTTAGGTGCTTAAAAAACAGAAAACAGAGCCAAACATAAAGCACTACAGAATAAATATTATCCTTTGATAAAGACGACTTTATTGCTTATACTAATAATGTAAAGAAAATTTGTTTTTAAAAGTTCATGGCCGGGCGCGGTGGCTCACGCCTGTAATCCCAGCACTTTGGGAGGCCGAGGCGGGCGGATCACGAGGTCAGGAGATCGAGACCATCCCGGCTAAAACGGTGAAACCCCGTCTCTACTAAAAATACAAAAAATTAGCCGGGCGTAGTGGCGGGCGCCTGTAGTCCCAGCTACTTGGGAGGTCGAGGCAGGAGAATGGCGTGAACCCGGGAGGCGGAGCTTGCAGTGAGCCGAGATCCCGCCACTGCACTCCAGCCTGGGCGACAGAGCGAGACTCCGTCTCAAAAAAAAAAAAAAAATCATATCTCAGCAGCCTTAAAGAAAAGGCCTGTTATATATGACCTATTTAACTATGAAAGGCCAAATATAAACTTAGAAATAAACTCCTATTAGATCCAGACAATATTTGGGAAGAAGCAACTATTACAGAGTTGACAAAGAGGAAGGTCAAGAGGCAGGGATGGCTGTCTTCCTTCTGGGCTTCTCTTCACAAAATTTTCTCTACTCCCCCAAATCAGCCAATTATTACAAAGCTGATCACACAAAGAATATCCCATCATGTTATAGTGGCTATAACTAGCAATGTAGAAAATAGATTCAAAATTCTTCCTAACATCCTAGCAGAAAACCTGCATTCTTATTCTGCCAAACTTACATATTAACTGTAAATTGACAATAATATAGAACCCTGAAAAATGTGGTCCATTGAGAACAAGGATAAATATAGCAGGTATGATGTAACTTTAGAAGCAAGCATACAACGTTTCTAAATTTATAAATGGTACATTTAATTTAAAACAAAACTATATATCTAATCAAGTACTCTTTATGATATCGATAATTTTATTTAGAAAAGATTCATGTTCAACAGAAAGAAATATAATAGATATCTAGCATTAAATAGGCTTTGAAAAATAATACAAATAAAAGTACAGCCCCAAGTCTTGAAAAACTTATGGTCTGTTTTTAAATAATGGTTTAAATGAATCAAATGAAAGAAAGGCAACCTTAGAGATGACATTAAATTATAAATTATTATAACAGAAAACAATTATAAGAATTATAATACTTTCTTGGCCTTTTGGCTAAGATCAAGTGAAGATGCCACTGGTCTTTAAGAAAAAAATATTAATAGTAGAGTATACTCCGGAATGATTTTGCAAAGAAATGTGTTCTGCACATGTTCTTTAGTAGGAATCATTGTCTCTTACCCTCCGGGGACTCTGTCTGGCCGTCCACTACTGACACAGCTGGCTCCATAACCTGTACAGTCTCCACAGACAGTGCAAACCATGCACTGCTCCAGCTTCCATTTGTGCATGCCTGGAGGGCACATCATAGACTTCTCATCTTTTTCATCTAGTTCTTCTTCCAGGTCTTCATCCATTGCTGTTGCCATATTTTCAACTCCAAACCCTATTTGACAGATCAATTTGTAATTTTTATACAGGTTACTTTCATGTATAAAAGATGGATGACTATATTTCCCAGTTTAAAAAATGACAGCATGCTAATCCAAGCAATTATACAAAGAAATGCTTAAATTTGAGTAACAAAAATAAATTTTAATTTAGGGACCACTAATAAACACTCTCCCCATTTCATTTCTGCAAAAGAAGGCAAGGAAGGCTATTGTCAAATGTCTCTTGGCTGTTACCTTCTGTCAATCATACTTTTAAATCTTTTCCTGTTTTCCATCCTCACTACCAACACTTTCATTCAACAGACCAAAGAAAGCCTCCCAACCATGCTCCAAGCCAAGAGTTCCCCACTCTAGATCATCCTCCTACTGCCACCAATCACCCTCCCAAAGCACATGACAACTTCATAATTTACAAACCTCCAGTGACCTTCCAAGGTCTTCAGAAGAACAAAACTCAGCAAGAGGCAGTAGGCACAAGATGGCTCCTAATTTTCTCCAATCTCATTTCTTTTCCCTCTGCTCTCCAAACACCCTGTGTCCTTCCATATGCTCAGGGCCTTTGTTCATTCTTGCTCCCTCTGCCTCTTCCTTCCTCATTTACAAGATGTCTCTGCCTATCTCATCTAGTAGAGAAACTTCAGCCTTCAAAAATTCAGCTCAGAAGTCATTCCCTATTAAAGCACTTGCTACCTTTTCCAGGCAGTCAGTCACTACCTCCTCAGTGCCTGTTTATACCTCACCTAACAACTTTTTAAAATGGTGTTACAATACAATTCATTCATCTTTTTTTCTAAATTGAACACCTACTATACTCCAGGGATTCCTTCACGGCAAGAAATCAGCAAACCTTTTATAAAGAGCCAGTAAATAATTTAGGCTCTGTGGCCCATACAAATCTTTGTCACATTTTTTACAATCCTTACAATGTAAAATCAATTTTTAGCTTAGAGGGCTATATAAAAAAATGACATCAGGTTATACTCTGCAGACCTCTGCTCTAGAAACTGAAGACGGTAATACTGAGCTGTTATGAAGCTTATAATGTAGTAAGAAAGACAGACATTAATCAAATAACCAAATAAAAATGTAAACTACAACTGGTAGGGTTTTGAAGGAACACAGTGTTATAAGACCCTATGACAGGAGAACAAATCTGTGGGAGTCAAGTAATTATTTTTTATATTTGACTTTCCTAAAGGATCTAAGTTATGAGGTTAAGTCTTGCTCATAATATCTCTTATTCTTAGTCAATCTTATTCTCTCACACCTATCACATCCATTTAACATACAGCTATCACTCAATACAGGTCTATCTAACCAAGAAATAAACTCATAGCATATATAGCCTTTTGGGGTTTTGCCACTTCTAATCTATGGGCAAGCAGAAAAATTAGATAACCAAGCATCAGCTAGCTATATCTAGGATTAGAATAAAGTGATCCTGAAGGAAGCCTCAGTGACTATTTTCAATAATCATAGCTAAAATGTACTGAGCACTATTTGTAACTAGCTCTATAAGCATTACTCATTTAATCATTCCAATACTGGAACTATTATCCTCAAATTAATCTTTACAGTCAATGGAATCTCAATCACAATGCCAAGCAAATAAAGCTGGTTCTAATTTATATGGAAAATAAAATCTCTCACCAGGCTACATTCATCAAAAATTTATAAAGAAAAAGGTTGAAAATTTTGACATCAAAATTTTAAAATTATACATAACAAATGAAACTGTAAACCACAGGTTAGTCAAAGATATATAAAACATAATACGTAAAAAAGCTCCTACAAATCAATTTTTAGTAAGTAAAATAAAGTTTGAAGAGATGTTCAAACTCAGTATTAATAATCAAGGGAATGAAAATTAAAAGAAAAGTGAGAGAACCAGCAATTCTACTCCTAGGTATATACCCAAAAGCCATGAATAAACACTTTCACCAAAAGACATTTACTAGAATGTTCACAGCAACATTATTCATAATAACCAAAACTGGAAACCATCCAAATGCCCAAATACTAGAAACAATTTTAAAACTGTAGTATCTATATATAATTTAATAGAACAAAAATGAACAATCTATAACTACTTGTAACAATATGTATGAACTTCATAAACATAAAACAATAAAAAGAAACTGGACACAAAAGAGTTCATACTGCATGATTTCACTTATATCAAGTATAAAAAGAAAACTAATTTATGGTAATTAACTGAAGGGCAGAGAGGAACATACAGTGGGGCTTTCTGGGCTGCTGGTAATATGTGGTTTCTTAATCTGGGTGCTGATTACATGAATACAATCAATTTGAGAAAATTCATCAAGATACTATGTATATTTTCCTGCATGCATATTATACTTCAATGTAACAAATAAAAAATTACAGTATCATTTCATAGCCACCAAACTGACAAAAATCAGTCTGTCAATATCAGATGTGATGTGGAAAATCCAACTCTACTGGTGAGAGTATAAATTGTTACAATCTCTTTCAAGAAAAATCCAGTAAAACTGAAATCCACAATAGAGCAATTACATCAGAGAAAGTCTCACAGGTTTTCCAGGAAACATTTATAAAGGAGGTTTTAAACTCATTTATAACAATGAAAAATTGGAAATAAGCCCATCCATCAACAGGAGAATGGATACACTATAGCATGTTCACTGTGTGGTATATTACACATTAGTTAACATGAATCATTTAGATTTATATGTACCAACATGGACATATTTCTAACAGAATGATGAGAAAAAAAAATTTGTAGAAAAATGTAAATAACAGATTAACACTTATAAAAACACATAAAACAGTAGTATATTTTATGTGTAAAACAGACATCATTATGCAATATTATTTTACACATAAAATATAAAAGAACATGTAAAAATATATAAGAACATGATTGAACGTATGCTTATCAAAGTCATGATCGCGGTTAGCTCTGGGGAGAAATGGAATATGATAATAAGCCTTGGAAGGGGGATATGGGGCACTTGAATCTTATCTGTGATTTTTTTTTAACTGAAAAAAAATGACAAGACATGGTAGAGACACAATTTTTTAATATTTCAATATGTTCTGTACTTTCCTGGTTTAAATAAACTTTTAAAATATTCCTTTACGTTCGTTTTAAATTGATACATAACTGTTATACCTATTTATGGCATATATGTGAGTTTTCATACATGCATATAATGTCTAATGATCAAATCTGGGTAACTGGGATCAAGTCAAGATAACTGGGATATTCTAAATTCTCTCTTCTAGCTATTTTGAAATACACAATATATTGTTGTTAACGACATTCACCCTACTCTGCTCCTGAACATTAGAACTTATTCCTTCTCTCTAACTGTATTTTTGTACCTATTAACCAACCACTCTTCCTCTCCCCCTCCCACTATCCTTACAAGTCTCTGGTAATCACTATTCTATTTACTATCTCCATGAAATCAATTTTTTAGTTCCCATATATGAGTGATATTTGTCTCTGTCCCTGGTTTATTTTATTGCAGTTAACATCATGTCCTTCAGTTCTATCCATGTTTCTGCAAATAACAATATTTCATTCTTTTTTAGGGATGAATAATATTCTATTGTGTATGTACCACATTTTCTTTACTCATTCATCTGTTGATGGATACTTAAGTTGATTCCATATCTTGGTGTTGTGGATATGGCTATGATAAACCTGAGAATGCAGGCATCTCTCTGACATACAGATTTCCTTTCTTTTTGATACATATACCCAGAAGTGGAATTGCTAGATCATGTGGCAGCTCCATTTTCAGTTTTTTGAGTCACCTTCATACGAATGAAAAATCTATGTTTTCCATAGTTGCTGTACTAATTTACATTTCCACTAGCCAAGTATGAGCATTCCCCTTTCTCCACATTCTCCCCAGCATCTGTTATGACTCTGCAATCAGTATGCACTGTATGTGTCTTACT
The DNA here is from genome assembly GCF_000001405.40 of Homo sapiens. Taxonomy (NCBI): domain Eukaryota; kingdom Metazoa; phylum Chordata; class Mammalia; order Primates; family Hominidae; genus Homo; species Homo sapiens. The sequence goes on from NC_000013.11 coordinate 77,255,317, forward strand.
TTACTCATCTGCTTTCTAATTCATTACTTACCAGCAGGGTAGGTATGATTCTTATTAAAAAAATCTTTTAACAATTTTACTTTGATTATTACAAAATGTCACTGAAGAATCTAGAACATAGGTGTAAATGTACGCTCAATTTTCACAAGAGTTTCAGAATAAGGAAACAATGTTGTTTAGTTCAGACTTCTTATAAAACATAATCTGAATATATATTCATATTATATATTAAAAAAACCCGATTCTCCCCTTTGTCCTAGCAGTTATTATCCAAAACAAGTTCACTAATTTAGTAATAAATCAAAGTATTTCCATTGTGAAGTAATCCATTTCTTTTCTTTCTTTTGTTCCTTCTTCATTTGCCAATATATTCTAGTAACTTGCTCATTTTTAAAGTGATGCATTTTAAATACACACACAGACACACGAATAAGGCAAAGACAAAGAATGGTGGGTTTCTGAGATCCAGATGAGTCTGACATCAAAGCCTCAAAACAGAAAAACCAGGTTTTGTTAATTTATACAGCATTAATCCTCGAAATTATTGGTACTTTAACCAAAGTTCAACGCTTAGTTCTAATAATATATATGTATGGTTTAATCTCTTGACCAAAATCAGAAATTGGAGTGAAAGTTATAAACATAACGATAGCAGCTAGATATAAAAATTGAGGGCAAGAAGTAGACATGCTATTTACAACCACAACAACAAAACAAGACCACAGCAAACAGGGCAATCAAAGGAGAAAGCCCTTTGTTCTCTTCAATGGCCTGAGGGTTGGAGCAAAGGATATTGTGAAGAAGGTGTGTCTACAATTTAGTCTTTTCTTGGTAAAGTGTCAGATATTCATAAGGATCACTCTTAGTTGTCAAGAACAGGTTAAATTACAGGTAGCATGTGCTGTTAAATGGGAAGATAATATACGCCAGAAAGATTGCTGCCAAAAATGGTTAAAATTTAAAACATGTCGTGTAACAGCAGCTAATAAAAAAATGTTTGGAAAAGACTTTTCTGGAGTAATGCAGTCATCAAAGATGCTAAGCCAAAGAAGCACTATTTTATGTAGAATTTAGAAGATGATTGGAGTAAGCCAGCACATTTGCTCAAAAATAAAAAATCTAAAGTGTATTTGTTTTTCCAGTGATATTTTATCAGTAAATATTATCAAATAAATAAGAAATTCAGTGGTTTTCCTAATTCACAAATATAACGTCAAAGAGCCACTCAAATCCAATTAAAAAATGTGAAAAAGTTCTGAATAGACATTTTTCAAAAGTAGACATATGAATAGCAAACAGGTATATGAAAAGGTGCTCAACATCATGGATCATCAGAGAAATGCAAATCAAAACTACACTGAGATACCATCTCTCCCCAGTTAACGTGGCTTTTATCCAAAAGACAGGCAATAACAAATGTTGGAGAGGATGTGGAGAAAAGGGAACACTTGTACACTGTTAGTGAGAATGTAAATTTAGTACAGCCACTCTGGAGAGAACAGTATGGAGCTTCCCCAAAAAACTGAAACTAGAACTCAATATGATCCAACAATCCCACTGCTATGGATATACCCAAAAGAAAGGAAATTAGTACATCAAAGAGATATCTGCACTCTCATGTTTATTGCAGCACTATTCACAATAGCCAAGATTTGGAAGCAACCTAAGTGTCCATCAACAGATGAGTGGATAAAGAAAATGTGGCATATAAACACAAGGTAGTACTATTTAACCATAAAAAACACTGAGATCCTATCATTTGCAACAACAAGGATGTAACTGGAGGATATTATGTTAAGTGAAAGAAGCCAGGCACCGAAAGACCAACTTCACATGTTGTCACTCATTTGTGGGAGCTAAAAATTAAAACAATTGAACTCATGAAGATAGAGAGTACAATGCTGGTTACTAGAGACTGGGAAGGGTAGTCAGGGAGAGTGGGTGGGAAATGGGATGGTTAGTTGGCACAAAAATATAATTAGATACAAGAGATCTACTATTTGATAGCACAACAGGGTGGCTACAGTTGGCGATAATTTTTTGTATACTTTAACAACTGAGGGAGTATAACTGGAGTGCTCATAACACAAAGAAAGGATACATGCTTGAGATGATGGAGACCCCATTTACCCTGTGATTATTATTACACATTGTAGGCCTGTATCAAAACAACTCATGTACCCCATACATATACCTACTATCTACCCATAAAATTTTTAAAAAAAATTTAAATAGGAACAAAAAGAAAAAGAAGAGCCACTCATTTTGAAAAGAACAAGACTTTTCACTATGTTGTTCTGAAAAACTAATGAAAAGACAACACAAATTTTAATATCTAAGAATTAAAGACCTACCTTTCCCACCTTGGTTCATGGCACCAGTATCTCGTCCACACTGTCCTTTATTATTTACACCAAATGTCCACACCTCTCCATTCTTCATTAAAACACAAGTGTGAGCTTTGCCCATAGCTACCTGAGTTACAAAATGGCCCTTCAAATCAGTTACCAAACCTATAGGAAAGAAACAAATTTAGTAAAAACAACAAAAAGGCCCTTCTGAGCCTAGTAAAAGAACTACCTCAATGCAGAACCGTTTATTTCTGGGGCAAAATAACTCAACAAAATGAGAAATAAGTAGCCAAAAGACTGGCAGAGTATCACTGAATTAACTTTGTAACTTTGTAACGTAGCTTCAGTGAATCCTAAAACATTATCATCCAGACTTGGGACATATCTTTACTGTAGCTTTCTCTCAAGCTTACTTCTCCTGAATGCTTCCTCCAAATGGTAATACCTCTCCACAGTACTTTCAAACTTTTCTGGTCTAAGCACAAAGGAGTCCATAAATAATTTATTTTACCTGCTTTGACCTGCCTCAGCAAAACAAAGTAAAATACTTGCCATAGTATATTGACATGAAATTGTTTATGTAGAAACCAGTGAGACTTTTCAAAACAGTATTTTTTAATCCTTTTCAACCTACAATGCTTTCTTCCACAATCCAATACACAGTTATTTTCTAAACTTCACTTATTCATGTATTACTTTCATTATATTTGTCATATCCAAGTGCCACTCATATTATCTATTTAATATGTTTTGTATCAACTCTAAATTGATTGAAGCATCTTTAACATTAACAATCAAAGATTATTATTTTTCCAATATACATTAAAATAAAAACATGTTATCAAGTATTTGTTTTATTTAAATTACAAATAGTATCAATCTCATATTATGCTTTGGGAAAACTGTTCTACATTATTAGCTCAGATATCACTACCTTAAGGTGGCCTTCACTTTCACCTTTCACTAGTTTAGGTCTTTTTGTTAATTATACCTCAAAAATTTCCACTTTTAATATTTAGCACATTTGAAAAAGGTAAGGGTGTGTGTATATATATAAAACAGTAGTTATTTATTATTATTATTAACAGTACTAGCTGACATGCTTTGAGACCTTACATGATGTGCTAAGCATTTCTTAAGTTCTACCTCCTATAATCTTCATAACAACTATATGAAGCAGGTGCTATCATTATCTATTTTTTGCAGGTAGAAAAAAACAAAAAGAAAACTCTTAAATGTTTAGTAAACTGTTACCCAGTTAAAGATTAAGTAAACTGTTACCCAATTAAAAGCGTTGGTGCCAAGGGCCATGCGCGGTGGCTCACGCCTGTATTCCCAGCACTTGAGGAGGCTGAGGCGAGTGTATCACTTGAGGTCAGGAGTTCGAGACCAGCCTGGCCAACACAGTGAAACCTCGTCTCTACTAAAAATACAAAAAATACAAAAAATTAGCTGGGTGTTGTGGCACGTGCCTATAATCTCAGCTACTTGGGAGGCTGAGGTGGGACAATCGCTGGAACCTAGGAGGCAGAGGTTGCAGTAAGCTGAGATTGTGCCACTGCACTCCAGCCTGGGAGACAGAGTGAGACTCCCTCTCAAAAAAAAAAAGTGTTGGTGCTAGGATCTCAGTCTATGTCCATAACCATTCAATACCACTTCCCCAATATTTAAGTTCTGTAATACCCAACTGTCTCTCGGATCCTCAAAAAGGCAGTATCCAGGTCTGTCAGGTCCATCAATCACTAATGTATCACCCATGCTCAATAAATATATGTTGAAGAAATATACAAGTTTCCATCAGCTCTACCCAGTGGATGTTAGCAAGCAACAATTATATTGAATATTATTTTTAAACTGTACAAGAACCCACTCCCAAATTTTGATTTACTCTGATAGCTGCAGCCAATTGAGAATCTAAATATTACAACATTAAGCCAGTTCACTTATCATCTGGGTACACCTCCACTTAATAATTAATTGCTATAAATGTTCTACAGGTGTAATTTCCCCAGCATGGGACAATTACATATATTTCTAATCATAAACTTCATTAATTCTAGTTTCCTTTTTTACAAAGAAACTCAAAGGCTTTACATATTTATCACACATAAAATCCTTCCAAGTGGGATGCTTCACTCATTATATTCATTTCTAGCTGCTAGAAAGAAAATCTAGTAACCAAATATGACAAGTTTTTGAGATTAGCATTTATAAATATAAAACCATTTAGCTAGTTCTACCCCTCATATCCACTTCTCAAACTTTTGGTTTATCAGTCACCCAGGCACTAGAAAATAATTCTTGAGACCCTACAATGTGCCAGACACTGTGCTGGGCACTGGGGATAGAATAGTAAATAAGACAGATCATCCCAGCCAAACACCCTAATGGGGGAGATAAAATACTTCAACAATTATAAACTAGCTATGTCATGAAAATCACTTCTTCAGGATACTACCACTGTCCCAGGGACATGTCCCATAAGCACCTGAGTCTAGGGAAAACATCCACAGAAGTCACAGCTACAGCGAAGCTTCCCTTGCCAAGCTCTATGATTAGCTTTGCATGAAACTAGGGACAGTGCTCCTAGTGACAAGATATGACAGAAAATTTCTCTTTCGAAATATTTCACATTTGGAAGGAAATGTAAAAAATGTAGAGAAAGCATGCCACCAACATAAATTTTCTAGATATGTCTTTGTCATACATAACTAGTATTGAAACTTCTTTGCATAAAAGTAAAACTTTTTATTAACTTACTTGAACTATCAGAGTAAATGGCATCTTTTCCAAACATGTAGAGTTCTCCATCTTTAGAAATAACAGAACTACTTCCATTATTGCAGGCTGTATATACCACAATCTTTCCTTCCATCTTAATTATCTTTTTAGGTTTATAAGGTTTGGATTGCCGTCTGCTCTTAGCTTTAAAAAAGAAATTAGATTAAATCAAGACCTCTATGTACAAATAATAATAATAATGGTTTGTATATAAAGCTAAAAAAAAAACCCATATTATTTGCATTTATGACACTATTTGTTTATTTTCACAAAGGCCTGGGCTTCCCAACATGTCATTTAAAATCAGTGAACCTGCTAGCCTCATCTGGTCAATTAATATTTACGCTATCATTGCTAGATCCTCATTCCCTGAAGTACATTCAAATTCTCAGTGAGTAATATTAGTTTTCTACCAAACTCCTGGAGGGCCCAATCTCTAAATTAGCTATTGCATTATTAATACCATTCTACTAACACATATCTAAAATCTCCTTTTTTTCCCAAGTTGTAATTCACATGTATTCTTGTTAGATCCTGGAAAGTAAAATAAGTTCCTCATTCATTCAATATGTATTTATTAAGCAGTTACATCAAGTCAATGATATATATATAAAGTTGGTGTGGTGTTATTGAAATTCATAAACTTTATCTTAATAAAGTTTTATTTTTACTAAAATAAAGCATTTATTTTTATTAAATGCATAGTTGATCACTCAACTTACTTGATTCTCCATCTTCTCCTTTACTAGCAGATCCTGTAAAGAATATGCTCCCATCTTCTGCAACTAAAAGGGCGTGAGAGCCATCGTGTCCAACTGAGAAGTGTACTATCTTTGGAGATTTTGTAATTGGTAGCTCAACCCATTTTCCTGCTGAAGGACCACCTTGTTTGATTCCAAGACTCTGGTATTTGCCAGTGTAATATATCTTATGTATTAAAAAAAAAAAGGAATTATGGTACTTTTTGGAATAGTGCATCAGGTTTCACATGAGGAAAAAAAAGGACATCAATATTTTATTGAAAAATAAAATTCACATAAAAACAAACTCTTTTTTACACTATTCAGCTTCTGGGAGTTGAGCAAGAAATACACATATTTTGCCAAGAAGACACAGTTCATAATAGCTTTTTCATATCTTTTATCCATTAAGTTTCCTGTCTTCTATAGGCACAATTCACAGCACCCTAAAATAATTACAATAGTAACATCAAAGATAACAGATCACCATAACAGATATAATAATAATAAAGAAGTCTGAAATATTTCGAGAATTACCAAAGTGTGACACAGAGACACAAAGTGAGCACAGGCGGTTAGAAAAATGATGCCAACAGACTTGCTCAACTCAGGGTTGTCACAAACCTTCAATTTGTAAAAAGAGCAATTATTTGTGAAGTGTAACAAAACTAAGCACAATAAAATGAGGCATGCCTGTACTGTTCCCTACATGAATAAAATTTTATCTTATAAAAAATAATTTTAAATCAAAATTTAAAAGATGATTCTTCTTAAACATGCAAACTATATAAACTAATCAACAGATTGTATTTTAATCTCTTAAATCAGAGAATGCTCATTTTTAATCCAAAGAGAATAATTTACCTTTCCATTTGCTGTTTTCATTAGCGCAAACTCTCGTCCTGCACCAAGAATTGCTGACTCCTCATCAAATCCTGTACCTGAAATACGAGACTAATAAATACTATTGCATTTCTAATATGAAGAATTCTAAATACAACATGCACTATTTTAAGTGATTGCAATGTCAATTCAAAATCACTAAAAAACAAGGATGACAAAATGTCATGTGCTCAAATTTTTAAAAATATTAACCATAGGTATAGTACTCCAAGGAAAGATAAAGTTATCATAATCTGTTTCTCTTGTTCCAAACCAGTACCAAATTAATTTTTTAAATATACGACAAAAAAATTTAAAAATTCAATGTCAGCAATATTCCTTGAATTAATGTATAAATGCTCAAAGTTTTATTGAGCGTTTATTAGGTACCAGGCATTATACAATTCACAAAATTTATCTCATTTGATTCTCACAACTATACCACTTGGTTTACAAATAAGCATATATAAAGGTTGGAGAGGTTAGTCCAGACACAGAGTCATTCAAGCTTGGAACAATGCCATGCAGATATTTGAATTAAAGTATTTCAGATTCTCTGCCTATGTCTTTTTCTACAGAAAGACATCTTATATAGCTACTCCATCAATTCAAATATATATATATGTAAATATGCATATACACACACAGATCCTTATGCATATTTTCAAATTGTAAAACTATGAGTAATTGTAGCTTTACATATGGTACATTTTATGACTTTGTCCAGCTATACAAACTACTAACTAGTTTATGGGCTTTAAAAATTTTAAATCTGTAATTTCAATTCAAGATTTTTCTAGGGAAGAATTATAAAAATACTACATAATTAGAATATAGAAAGTAAAGCACTAATGCCAAGTTTATGAAATGTAATGAGATAACAGTCAAAAAAGATGGATCTTGCAAAGAACCCTACAAGTTACGGAAGGTCACTATTAAACCTGGAGTGGCATGGCAAGCCAAAACTAAAACTCTCAGGAGAACTCATGATCCTAATTACTTTTACAACATTACAAAAGTAAATAATCTAAGCCCAAGAAATACTCTGTGGTTATCTGTATTTCTCTATCCAAGTGAAAGATTACTGATCCGTGTGTAAGGCCAATTACCATTTTGACAATCTATGAGATCATTCTATAGTTACCTTGAAAATCTATTCAAGTAAAAACTTTAAAAATTTCAACGAGAGAACTATGTATATTGTTGTAATAACATTTACAACGTAAGTTTTCAAATTTTTAAATAGTTGAAAAATGATGCAGCATATAAACTAATGACATTCACCAATATCCATCCATAATTCTCATTAAATTTTATTTTCTTTTGCTCTATTCAAAGCAAAAAAGAGAAATTATTAGTCAATTCCTTAGAATGGTCTTCAAATATCATACTTTGTTTAAAGACTGTGTTTCCCAGTTATTTATTCATATTAATTCAAAATTATCCTTTATATTAATAGTAACAGACACAAAATAGCTGCTACAACATAAGCTGAACTGGTGAAAACACAATGTTCATTTTTAAGAGTATGAAAAATTGAAAATTAAAATATAGGGAAAACACTTAATTTGCTATCTTACTTATAATATGCAAGTCCTTTTCCAGATCGAATAGTGAGATACCACAGGCATGTAAGCATTTTCTAGCCAGTTTAAGTTGCAATTCTTGCTGTAGAACAGGTTCAGTGCTTGTGGCAAATATTCTGACAACAAAGCCATCCTAAGAAAAATAAAACATCCACAGCATTACATTACATAAAGAGGTCGTTCAAGGCTCTACAGTCTATCTAATAAAAGCTAAATAATTTAAGGAAAAGGAATTCCATTTACACTAGCTACTTAAGATTCAGGATACTTACATCTCTTGAAGCAGCTATCTGATTAATATATTCTCCATCAGTGAATAAAATATTTTGACCTTCAGTGTGGCAATCTGTGCAAAAGAAAAAGTATTTATATTACAATACAAGCAAACACCTTGCAAAATGAATTTACTCCTCTGTTGAAGTCAAAATGAGAGTTCTCCACGCAATAAGGATAAACTCAAAAGGAGACTGTGCTTTTTAATAAAGAATTATAAATTAGCAGAAACTAATTCAACTAATCATACTTATTACATTTTTGCTTATATTTATAAATCTTCCATAACCAAGGACCTGAGATCCCACCTAATTTCAAAATGAATTAGTATTAGATATAGTCTGACAGTAAACATGCACCACGATGAACAAACTATAATGTTGGTTACAATCATTTCAATACAATCACATGCAATGGAGGCAACACTCTACTCTCAGACATACATCACAGTCATTAGTGTCACAGAAAAATACGACCTAAAGCTTCTGTATTTGACATCTATTGTGTCCAACTACAGATATCCCTTGCTTTGTAAAATGGATATTCAAAACCAGTTGTACATTTCCCACTTAAAAATTCAATGTTTATTCACAGCATTTTTAGCATTTAGTGTGCTCTAAACTTTTTAAATGTTTGTCCAACAAGAGCAGACAAATATATGCTTATGCTTTTATTTTTATCTCAAAGCAGTCATGTATCTTGGCTAGAATACCATATTTCATCAATACTGCATGTATCTCCATAGAATAGTACACCATATACTTTGATCAAAATAATGCACAAGCTCAATTGTAACAAGGGATACCAGTATTACAGAAGGACCACAGGAACACGTGTTAGTGATTGCTACTAAATAACACAAAACTACAAGCAAAATCAACATCAAGGATAAATTCTGTCCTTTTGGAAAAACAAATTTTCAGCAAGCAAGTTAAAAGCACACACACACACACACACATACTTCCCAAAATAACTGCAGAAAACTAGGATGAATCTCTCCATTAATCACAATACCAAAACAAAAAATAACATTTCATTTCTAGTTGCACCTGAATCAACAAAACATAAAATTCTGATTTTGAAATGCAGTAATGGAGCCCACCCGAATAAGCTGGATTATTCTTTATCTTTGCCCAGGAGCTTCATACTAGCATACTTCCTTATCATAAATATGCAAAACACAGGCAGACCCTTACCAAATAGAGAATTCAGGGATCACAAACTGGAAATAGAAACTGGGAGACAAGGCCCACTGGTAGCCCAAGAGACTTGGTAATCAAAGAGAGGAGAAATCAAAAGAAAGAGTTCCTAGTCCACTGTACAGAACACAAAGAGGCGCAAGAAAGATGCTTCTCAAGCTCTAAGCAGTAAGATTTTAAACTAAAAAGCAAAGAAGAAAAACTCATTATAATTTCAGATAAACGCAGGGGTGAGGAGTGAAGCGGCGCAAGAAGAGTAGCAAAAAGCCTCATGAACTGAGGCAACCTGTCACCAGACATGGAGAGAAAATGACATAAAGATACAATCTGTAAGATAAGCCGAGGTTTAAAGAATAAAATGACAATTATCAGATAAAAAAAGTATGTTTTAAGTTCATCAAAACAAGGTTGAAATACTTTTTAAATAAACTATACTGTAAGACAAGCTGGAACATGAAGCTCAAGGAATTACCTGATTTATGTCAACTTGAAACATGGTATTCATTACCATCTATAAACCTGACAATTTACTTCTGCTCCTTGATTGGAAGGCTACAGAGCAGAGCTATTCCTACCCACGAAAAACAAAAAGTGCTATTGGATGAAAATTCAGTCCAGGTCAAAGAAACAAGAAAATTACAAAAGGCTTCTTCAGGCTTGAGGGAGGAGTCTTCTGCCACGTGATTTCAAGATTTTCTCTTTATCCTTTCTTTATCCATCATGTAATATTTTAAGCTTGTATCTTCAGGAATATATCAAGCAACATCTGCCAGTTCTGAAGACAAATATGGGACTATCTTCCTGAAGTTTGGTTCATTCTTCACCACTAATACAGCACACACTTATGAAACACAGAAAGCCACACTTGTATTGTTCAAAGTTGCATTTCACAAGTTAAACAAAGCAACGAGATTTAAACTGAATAAAGACATTAACGAGTAATTTTTTTATCAAGGCAGAATAAATAAAACAGCTGTAGGCACATATTTTCAAATTGTCTTATCAATAAGTCACAGTCTCTATTAAATGTGCAGGGTTTCTCAGAAGTAAATCCTTGATATTAGTACCCATGTGTTATAGCGGATGGGATGTGTCAATTTAGAATTTTTCTTCTATGTCATTATCCTAAAATGACTGGCACAAAGACAGCACGATAGGAACGCTCATTACAGTGTAATTTATATAGCAAAACCCTGGAAGGCTTTCATTCTCAAACATTAATCAATGGAATATATTTTGTAACATTTAAGTGACATTGTAGAAGACTATTTAATGACCTAGAAATATTTTCAGAATATTAAGTGAAAGAGATAGATTAAAAAAGCAATATGTAGCATATGATCACACTTTTTTACAAGTATGGACATATACACAAAGGAAAAATACGAGAAGGATATTTACCAATATGTTCATAGTGTTTATATATGGGAAGTGGGATTATAATTATTTCAATTCATTCTTTTTTGTTCATATGATTTTTATACAACAAACATGATTACTTTCAATATATGTATAAATATGTGGGGGGAGTGTGCATGTTATTAAAAGTATTTTTTAATATTATTGTCATTATTATTATTATTATTATGACCAAAGACATGGTCCAGGACTTGTAATGAAAAAAAAAAAAAAAAAAAAAACCCTGTAGACATATCTGAAAATAGATGGTTATTTTCAAAATGATTTTATTAAGTCATCCGCTTTCCAAAGCTCCTCTATTTCTGAAATGGACATGAAATGTCATATTTACTTTAACATAGTGTCATGTACACTAATATGTATCTATGTATATGTAGTAAGGTTCAAATAAATGTTTGATGAAATTATTAAGATTATATTTAAAAATAAACATGCAGCCCAGGAGCAATTATTCTTCTCAATGCACTCTTCAGAAGTAGCTCTCACTTTCAGATGGTCAAACGCTTACAAGTAATATTGCTACTATGAAATTATTGACAGACACATTAGACACTCAAGATTTTAATATAAACAGCCTCAGAAAGTATCAACATTATAAACAAATTCAAAGATCTTACAATAAAGAATATGCATTTTTCCAGCATTCATCAAAATTGGAGACCTACTGCCTGATAATTTAGCAGTGATTTAAGTGAATATATAAAAGCCTCAAAATTAAAGCAAAATAAACTGTGTCCAAAGACCTTTATCAAAGTATTAAGAAGCATAAGAAGCATAAATGATGAAATTAAAAAAAAAAATTCCTGACCTACCCTAAACTCTCTGTCTCTGAAACCCCTTTAACATAAAATAAAATAAAATAAAATTAAATTAAATTAAATAAAATTAAATTAAATTAAATAAGGAGGAAAACCCAACTGCACTGTTGTTAAAGTAAAAATAAACAGAAGGTTCTTTATACTGAGTCACATGAGAGCCAGAGTTCTGATTTTTATTAAGAGCAACACAGTTACATCACCCCACTAATTCAGCAGTGGTGGGGTGAGGTCAGAGATTAGGCCATAGACGGCCAAGTTTGAAAACAAATATTAAAACTTGTTATATTTCTATGTCTATTCTCTTGATATGTATTAACTTCACGTAGACTATAAAATGCTTTGTATGTCAAGATTTTTAAAACCCTTTTATAAGCAAGCACTATCCCTTGCTAATCATTCTTTATGTGTCTAAATAGCTTAACATGCACATTTCTTAAAATTGCTTGTGGAGAAAAAATGACTACTTGAAACATACCTGGTAACATCACAGTACCATCTTGCTCCAGTGTTTCAGGGCTTATCCTTATGGCTGTCATGCTGTGGTTATTCACATCTCTATATAATAAATAACCCTGATAACAGCAAAAAATTTTCCTGTTAAAATATTTATTACTAATTCAGCAGAAACAGCAGCCATACAGCTCCATATTACAGGTTTTTGAGGTACAATAATACATCAATATTGATGTCTAAAAGATATTAATGATTAAAAATATAAGAACATTCCTCTCAATTAGAGGAAAAGTCATACATTATTGAAAATTGATGTAACATATTCCCAGAAACATAATTAGGTATACTAAACAGGACAGTACAGTTACAAACATTTTGTTCAAAATGACCATACCACTTGCCAAGTAAATAATATGAATGATCACTGTTACTTTAACAAGTACTTTAAGAAAAATAACAAGTATTGAGTTTGCTATTTGAAAATGAATAGCATAGTGGTTTCAGAAGGTGTGGTATGCCATTGAACACACTGCTATAATAATATACTTTCCACGGCATTATTTCTTAGATAAAACACAATAGAGTGGCAAATAAAAATCTGATGAGATATTTTAAACTAAGTTCAATTTTTAAGAGACAATTACTGAGAAACTAATTTGTTATCTAAAATTTAATTTCAGGCTGGGGGCGGTGGCTCACGCCTGTAATCCCAGCACTTTGGGAGGCTGAGGCAGGTGGATCACCTGGGATTAAGAGTTCGAGACAAGCCTGGCCGGCATGGTTAAACCCGTCTCTACTAAAAATACAAAAATTAGCTGGACGTGGTGGTGGGCACCTGTAATCCCAGCTACTCGGGAGGCTGAGGCAAGAGAATCGCCTGAACCTGGGAGGCGGAGGTTGCAGTGAGCTGAGATCACGCCACTGCATTCCAGCCTCAGCGACAAGAGCAAAACTACAACTCCAAAAAAAAAAAAAAATTTAATTTCAAATTCTCCCCAATAGGTGATACAGTAGAATTATTCTTCATGTAACAATAGTAATTTCCATAGTTTTCAAAAGACTTTCAAATATCTTTTATCATTTGATCCTGACAACAAATCTCACAAGCTCAGCAAGGCAGGCATGCAGGGAAATCTTTATTCTTTATCCTTATACAAAGGAACTTGGGCTTCACTGTTCAGGTAGGTACTGTATGGAAAAAAATATTTCTAGTCCCTCTTGTCCATCCTTCATTTGCTTTTCTCCATAAGAGGAGTAATGTATCCATCTGGCTGCTGACCTTGTAAAAGGCTAACACCTATCTGACTATGTTGGTCAGGAGATAAGATCACAGCATTAAGACACAAAAACCCAGGGCTTTTCTTTCTCTCTTGTGATTCTTTGCATATTCTTCATGCAGGTAGCTGTCTACTGAGTAGGCCAAACACTGTTTCCTAGAAAGTACTGAATCTAGACTAAAATGAAAGAGTCTGTGGTAAGAAACCCTAATTTGGCCTCAGGACATGTATACATTTCCAATTTAAATGTGCTAATGAGGCTGGGTGGGGTGGCTCAGGCCTGTAATCCCAGCACTCTGGGAGGCCCAGGCGGGTGGCTCACTTCAGGTCAGGGGTTTGAGACCAACCTGGCCAAAATGACAAAACCCTGTCTCTACTAAAAATACAAAAAAATTAGCTAGGCATGGTGGCATGGGCCTTCTCAGGAAGCTGAGGCACAAGAATCACTTGAACTCAGGAGGCAGAGGTTGCAGTGAGCCGAGACTGTGCCACTCCACTCTAACCTGGGTGACACAGCGAGATTCTGTCTCAATTAAAAAAAAAAATGTGCTAATGATAAAGGTGGTCTTCAATTCTTATCTAGAGGCTCACTTACACAAGAACTCTAAAGAAGGTATGTTTAATCCCATATTAAAGCTAAATAACAGAGGACCCAATAAGTTAACTGAGTTGTCCAGTCATACAGCTAGTAGGAAGCAGGGCCAGAACTAAAATTGAACCTCTTATGAGTTCTGAGACAGTGTTCTTTACGCTACACTATTCAGTTATTATGGCCATATTAGTAAAAATATATTATCATTTCTGTTTAAATAGAAGTGATATTACTGATTAAACAAGGACAAATCACATGTTGTAAAAGATAAGAAAATTTTGGTTTATTGTGGATAGTTTCTTACCTGAGCATACCCTAACCAAGACTTTTTTTCTTTTCTGTTTCTAATACGGGATGTAGAATTGTATATATGGCCCTGCAAAAAAAACAAAAGTTAGTATATCAGTGGTTTCATAATTAATAATCAATGAAAAATAATACAAATGGGTGAATGACATTTAATGCATGTATTTCAATTATGGTTTTCAAATAAATATTATTACACTAAAATTAGATCATATTCTAGAAATGAAACTAGAAACACACAGAACACAATTCATTATGGTTATAACTCTGTATAATTAAGGAACTGTAAGGAATCACATTACCCTAACTGTTCCACTGTATCCAGAGCCTATTTTATATAATCCATCCTTGCATAATAGATAAAGAAAAAATCCATCATTCTGAAGTAGACATTGGTCATCTTCATCAACAGATATTTCTTTTAATGGCCACTTGTGCATTAAAGCTGCTTTCTTAATGCCATTACTAAACCAGTCCTGAATTTGAATTTTTCCCACCAAAACTGCTTGTACACTTCTCTGTAGCGAATTTAGAATTGTTGGCACCTAATCAAAAGAGAAGAAAAATAATGAAAAAACATTTTTAAATGTTACAAACACAGAACAAAGATACTTTGGTAATACATCATCATTCATAAGACAATAAATTGTTCAGAATGATATTTCGCATGCCAGCAAAAAGTACCAACTAAAAGTTCATCTATAAGAAGCAAATCTCAAGCAAGGTAGACTTCCTTACTCTTGGGATTCCATGTCATTCACCAATTCTGTAAAATCTTAGCCATTATTTCAAGTACTCTATCTCCACAAATCTATTATTGCCTTGTGGAACTCAGATTGTATTACATTAGATTTTGTCATTCTCGATCCATGTTTCTTATTTTATCTTCCATATTTCTCTCCTTGTCTCTCTGTTGCATTCTAGATAATTTCTTCCTCTTTATCTTTCAGTTCACCATTTCCATCTTCAACCATATTATACAATAGTTAACCCATTTTAAGTTTCTAATTGTAATTATTTGGTTTTTCATTTCTAGGAGTTCGATTTGTTTTTTTTCCTAATGTCTGACTACTTTTTATATTCTCACTACTTAATCATACTTTTGATATTTTCTTTTATTACTTTAACCATACTTTATATATTCATACACATACACATTCTATATCAAATAATTTCAATATCTAAGGACTTGGCAGGATTGATTCTACCATATTTGTTTCTGCTAATTCTCAATAATGGTGCCTTTTTCCATGTGCTTTTTTTATTAATTTGTTTCTGAGCTCAAATGCAATAAATAGTGTTTTATTTGCAGAAAGCCTTTGAAGTCAAGAGTTCAACCCTCCAGAAAGGATTTCAGTGTCTTTCAATACAGCATCTTGCAGTACTACCATGTCTACCCTGCTTTAAACTCTCTGTTAAGCTTTATGAAATGGACAAGTAGTATGCATTTGGGTGCCAAAACAAATCTGAGATGTGAAGAGTTACACATACTCATATGGTTTGGTTGTGTTCCCACTCAAATCTCATCTTGAATTCCCACGTGTTGTGGAAGGGACCCAGTGGGAGGTAACTGGATCATGGGGGCAAGTCTTTCCTGTGCTGTTCTCATGATAGCGAATAAGCCTCACGAGATCTGATGGTTTTATAAAGAGGAATTTCCCTGAACAAGCTCTCTTTGCCTGCTGCCATCCACGTAAGACATGACTTGCTCCTCCTTGCCTTCCACCATGATTGTGAGGTTTCTCCAGCCATGTGGAACTATAAATCCATTAAACCTCTTTCTTTTGTAAATTGCCCAGTCTCGGGTACATCTCTATCAGCAGCGTGAAAACGGACTTAATGCACACATTCTCAGGGAAAGCTTTTCTCCCTCTACCAACAGTCAGGCCAGGAGAGTTTTGGGAAATGAAGTTGGTAGATAAAAGGCCAAATCATGAAGAGCACTGCAAGCCATGTTAAGGTAATGGGCTTTAATATGGAGTTTAGGCTAGAGTTGGGGATGTGGTGATGTGGCAGGTCTGTAGAGAACTGCAGCTATTGATTCAGAGGATCAAGTAGTTTTGTGTTGTCTAGTGATTGAGCATAAATATTGGAGACAGATAAGCCCTCGAGTCCTGTCTCTGTTATTTGCCAGCTCTGTATGCTGTGGCTACGCTATTTGACAGCTCTCTATGCTATAGCTATACTAAACTTCTTTCAGCTTTCAAATATTTCACTCTTACTCTCACCTCCATGCCTTAGCATGTGGATACCTAGAACATTCTCTCTCTACACCACCAACACCAAAAATTTCTCCTGGCTGATTTCAACTCATTAGTTTAGATCTCACCTCATATCCTCTGGGAGGCTTTCCATGAACGTAGTTCTTATACTCCTGCTATGAGCTCTAATGGCATTCCTAAGTCTCTATATAAAAGCAAATCATATCAAAATTCATAAGCTCATATGTTGGTGGTCACTATCCTATTAAAATCTGGTATATGGTATCTGAATGTTTGTGTTACTTTATTACAATTTTTAAAATATTTGCATATTTTAAACATATATTTAAATTAAACATTTGCCAAACCCTGAAAGCATGTCTACAGAACACAGCTTGAAAACCACTGTATTAGAGCAACTTCAAAATAATTAAGGACCATAAAAAGGGACAAAAGGATTCCAAGCAAGGCAGAAAGGAAGAAAAGAGCAGAAATCTTGAGTAAGGGAATGGGTCTTGTTTGACCAGGAGAGTTCAAAATCACTGAATAAGACAGAAAATGACCAATATACTCCTTTTGCTATCTTTGGTCTGCTAATAACAGGATTGAGGCATCCCTTCCACCTGCCCTAGGGTTGCCCAAGGGGCCAGAGAAGAGTAGACAGTCAGGTCTTAAGATCATAACTTCTTTCTCAATTTCCAGAGCCTTCCCAAATAATTAAGTCAAGTTTGCCTATAAGGATTATTTTTCCCACCACTAAAATGGTGATGAGCTTGTTTGTTCCACAACTGAATATTAAAAGCCTAAAATGTTTTATACACAGCTGAAGTAACTCAGAAACGAATCAATTCATAAAAAAATCATAATCAACCAATCAAAAATATATCAGATTGATACCATATCTTTTTCTTTCAATAGAGAAAAGATATTTAAAACCATGAATGAATTCCATACTAAAAAACTCAGGGAAAGATGGGAAGAAGGGAGAACGCAGACAGCAAGAAAACAGCAAGGAAAGAGAAGGCTATGGTGTTAAGGCAAAGACCAGCTTAAAGATTTAAGAGGTCTGGCCAAAATTCATTTTATTATATTTAAAGCTTCAGAGTTAAACATACATATCACTTAATTGAAATACTGTAGATTATTTATGTATCAATCTTGGACAGATTAAGCTACTGTAATGAGTGAGAAAAAGCAGAATTCCTATTGACAGAAATTGAGACGAAACTGTAACTTGTCATCTTATAAACTTCTAAGCAGATATAAATATGAAATACCTGAATAGTTTGGCAAGCATGGCTTCCATTGTTGGTGAGGATAGCAGAGATGGCCTGAAGTGTCCTTCCTGTTTCTCCCCAAGAAGCCACCAGACTAAAGAGGCAAGCACAGGAAAGTGCTGTTAAGGACTGTCCTGTGCTGTCATTCATCCCAGTACTTCGAACGGTGATTTCCAAAAGAAGCTGGAAGAGAGACTCTGTGGATAAAATAGAATTCAATTATATTCATCCAACATACGGAACATTATATGCGTATATTTATTTATTTTTACTTTGTCTCATTATAAACGAAATTTAAGGAATCTAGAACAATTACTTTGCTTTAGTTTCTTTCTAGTTACTCTCTTCCCCAAAAGTTAAAATATTTATGTAACAAGGGTCTTAAAGAACATTCAGTTCAACTCCTTATTTTTCTTAGTAAAAAAAGACAATCTAAGGTCTTTTAAAACAAGCTTGCCTAGAGGCATTCACATATTCAAGAAACTCATCCTATCAAGTAATAGACTACTTGTCATACTTATTTTACCTTTTAGATTAGGAGGCTTCTTAAAATGTTAAGTGTCCAGGAAATTATGTATATATTTTCAAAGTAATAGAAACATAAAACATATGCAATAATGTGCTTTAATATAAAATTGGCTATATCATTAACATAATAGCAATTCACACTTAGGATGTAATTCATTTATACCCTAGAAAAACCTCCAAGTCAATAGGACAGATATTCTCCCCCTTTAATAATGAAATTGAGATATGTGGTATCAAAAGATTTTTCCTAAATCATAAAGTCATTTAGTGGTGAAGATGAAACACACACACACACAAATGTTTTACAACCAGCAGAGGTCTCTGCACAAAATTCCCTGAACACCTCCATCTAAGATTCAATCAACAGACATCTGGGTATTTCTTCCATAGAACGGAGACTTGAAAATCCTTATAGAGTGAATAATCAGATGGAGAGGGAAAAAGAGAGTTAGAAAAAGAAAAACTGAGAAACATGAAGAGAGGGAAAGGGAAGGGAGAGAAGGAGGAGAACAAGAGAAAGAGGAGTAATGTACTGCAATTCTCTAAAAACTAAAATGCCACCTGTGGGTTATCTGGTAACTTACAGAAACCCAGGCAGCCCCTACCAATCCCTCATCTTCCATAGCTAATCCCAAATTAAGTCCTGTTTATTTTACTTCCTAATGGATAACTCCACTTTTCCCTATCTCATCATCATCTTTCCAATCCATGCTATCATCATCTCTTTGATAAAAAGTGTTAAGAAATTATCTCTTACCATTCGCTTTTGCCCCAATAGCCAGGGAGAATTTCAAACCAAAAATCTGATTGTCTACTTAAAATTCTTTCACTCCTTTGTTAATTTCTTCCTCCCTTCTGTCTTCTTTTCTTTCCCCCTTCCTCTCTTCACTTGTCTGTACACATCCTATACTTCCATTTTTTTCCATTTATCCTTTCCTCTACCTTTTCCTCCAGCTATCCTTCCTTCCCTCCATCCTTTCATCTATCCCTGTTTGTCCATATTTCCATCTACCCATCCTTCCTCCAATTATTATCCTTCAGTGAGTACATCTGTTGATTATTCAGCAAATATATACCGAACTCTCACACACTGGCAACTATTCTACACTAGGGTATTGGCAAACATGACAAAGAATGTCTCTACCCTTTCAAAAAGGTTAAGAATCCAGGGAAAGAAAATAGTCAATAGTTTAAACAAATAATTTAAGAAAATAAGGCTATTTAAAAAACAATATTCTTCATGTAATGAAATAGAGAATGACTTTCCATTCCTCCTAGCCCACTAATCAAATTCTTTAACATGGCATGTAAAGCTCTGCATGTCCCTGCCTCCTTCCTCACCTGTCACAAGACTGTTTCCTTCACTCTCCACATTCTAGCCATATTGCTCTTCTTTTCATTCATTCTCCTTTCTGTCTCAGAGCCTTACTAAATGCTGTTATTTCTGCCTAGAGCACTTATAATCGAATTCACTCCCTCCTATTCACCCTCTAAATCTCATATGTCACATCTTCAGGGAGCCTGTTAAAGACTCTCAGAAGGAGCTGGGTGCAGCAGTGTGTACCTATAGTCACAGCTACTTGGGAGGTGGAGGCAGGAGGATCACTTGAGTCCAGGGTTTGAGGCTACCCTGGGCAATATAGTAAGATCCTGTCCCTAAAGATAAATAAATA
Source organism: Homo sapiens (assembly GCF_000001405.40). Classification (NCBI taxonomy): domain Eukaryota; kingdom Metazoa; phylum Chordata; class Mammalia; order Primates; family Hominidae; genus Homo; species Homo sapiens. The sequence continues at coordinate 77,275,673 of NC_000013.11, forward strand.
AAAAATTTTTAAGTTAAAAAAGGAATCTTGGCCAGGCGCAGTGGCTCATGCCTGTAATCCTAGCATTTTGGGAGGCTGAGGTGGGCAAATCACCTGAGGTCAGGAGTTTGAGACCAGCCTGGCCAACATAGTGAAACCCTGTCTCTACTAAAAATACAAAAATTAGCCGGGCATTGTGGAACGCGCCTGTAGTCCAAGCTACTCAGGAAGCTGAGGCAGGAGAATAGCTTGAACCCAGGAGGTGGAAGTTGCAGTGAGCCAAGATCGCACCACTGCATTCCAGCCTGGGCAACAGAGCGAGACTCCGTCTCAAAAAACAAAAAAGGACTCTCAGAACTCCTTCTACTTTCCTCCATACGATTTATCCACATTTGTAATTATACACATATCCAACTCTCTGATGCTAAGTTCCATAATAACAGCAATAGTATCGCACATTCTTAGCACATAACAAAGGGGGTGCTATTACATTTCAGTGAGTACTCGAGAATATAATCTAATTGAACAGAATATATGGATATAAGGAAATATATTTTTAAATAGATAATTTAAAAATCAAAATCTATTTGCAAAGAGAAGAAGCTTGGTGTATACTAATCATCAAGATGTTCCACAGTAAGAGTTATATAAATATACACATATTTTCATGAATAACACGAAAACAACCGAATGGGAAAAAAAGGATAACCAATAAGATTGTGATATTAGATTAAAAAAAGGAGGAGAGGCAAGTTTCAAAAGAAATTTAGTATAAAAGAACCAAATCAGTGCTTTTATCTTTGAGCTAATTTAACAAAATAGAAAACATGAAGTGATAATAAATCCCTTACATAGAAAAATAAGCCAAAGCAGTGACGAGATCAGCAGTAAACACTGAAAGGATGGAAGACAGACGAAAGGCAGTACAGCAGAATTTGAAACTTTAAACAAGAAAATAAAAATGAACAGATTAATAAGGTGAAATATTTTTGGGTTTTGTGGGATTTTTTGGGGGTTTTTTTTTTGGTAGAGATGAGGTCTCATTCTGTCACCCAGCTAGAGTGCAGCGCAGTGGCATGATCACAGCCGACTGTAGCCTCAGACTCCTGGGCTCGAGCGGTCCTCCCACCTTAGCCTCTTGAGTAGCACTCATTTCCATGCCCAGTTTTTTTTTTTTTTTTTTTTTTTGGAGAGATAGGGGTCTAAGTTGCCCAGACTGGTCCCAAACTCCCAGCCTTAAGCTATCCTCCTGCCTCAGCCTCCCAAAGTGCTGGGATTACAGGCATAAGCCACCACACCCAGCCAATAATGTGAAAGTTTTGATGGAAGATAAGACTAAAGCACATATTATATGCCAAAGCCAGTATTAAGAACAAGTTCTAGTTTTAAAAGAATAAAGGAAAGAAAGTATGTACAGAATGGATACAAAGGAAAGTATATAACAACTGACATGAGACATGAGAATGGTAGAAGACTTAGGAGGAAAGAAATAACATGTTCAAAGTAGGAAATACGACATCCAAGTCTTCGCGGGTATTTCAACATTCCAATTATTTGCTAACTAACAAACCAAATCCAAGAAAACCGAGCAAAATATTGTTAAATAAAATAAATCAAATCTTCAGTAAAATGCTGTCAAGCCAAGCAGCACTTCACAATATTAATATGATCACTGGTGCTATCATAACAATAACCAACACGGTGCTTGCCTGCCAACATGACAGCTTCTATTTGGTAATAGCTTTTAATAACTGTGTATGTGAGGGGGGTGGTTTTAAAAAATCCTCAGCTTGTTTCAATGACCAGCATCCTCCCTCTCATTAAAACAAACAAAAGTCAAACACAATAACTGAGTCCCCACATGCGACCAAAAAAGAAAAATCTGACATGTAGTTAGGTTCATGCAGTTTGGTTCTCACAGGTGGGTCCTACAAAATCTAAATAGCCAAGTCGGAAAAAAAGGACCAAGTTTTAGTCTAAACCAGCAGTGTACTCCTCAAACCAGCATCTGTATCACCAAGAAACTAATTCCAAATACAAACTTTTGGGCCCCACCCCAAGTCTATGGAATCAGAAACACCATAGGGAAGTCCCCGATAACTCTGATACATGCTAATGAGAATTGAGAACCACATAATGAGAACCACAGCTCTAGTACTTCTGAGAATTTTCCTATAATAATAGAAGGATCTAGAAAACTTTAGATAGTTTAAAGACCCATAGTTAGCATCGGAGAAAAAAAGCAATTAACCAGTTAAAAATTATGCTTCCATCTATATTTCTATTCCTTAGTACCTTTTAAGTAAAAGCTCCTATCTTATTTAAAGGATTACATGTTGAGTCTGGGTCACTGATATGAAAGGCAAGAATCGGAACATACTTTAAGAAAAGCGAACACTTTATTTACTTAATGAAAGTTGCTAAGTCAGAAGTTTAATCCATAACACAAATAGATTTTTATTTATGATGAATACAAAAAAAAGTCCCCTCAATTTAGAAACTAATTGTACTGTTTTGGCTTTGTGGCATTTATTTCCTTTTCCCCTGTTTTTTAAAACTATTGAGAGTAACAAGTTAGAGAAAGTGAATGTTAGCTATTTTGGCCAAAAGTTTAATAAGAACGATTTCAGTTAATAGTGACCTTAAGGTTTGAGGATTATTTCTGGATTCCAGGGATTTATGTTTTGTTTGCCCCCCGCTTCATCATACTAATTGAGAAATGTGTGTGCACGAACTTCAACTCTTAAACCATAACTTCAGTGGAACACAGAAAAAAATACTCTAGAACTTATACCCCTGCTGTTTCCGTACCACAATTAAATAAAGACTGCATTACAGGCTATTGTGTGTGCTTCATAAGAGAAGCTCTTCACTTTTTAAAAACTGCAAATTGACAATTTATAATTATATAAATTTATGGGGTATAAAGTGATGTTATGATTCATGAATAAAATGTGGACTAATTAACATCTATCACCTCAAGTACTTAACATTTTCTGTAGTGAGAACTTTAGAAATATTCTCTTAACAATTTTGAAGTGTACAATACTCTATTATTAATTATATTCACTTTTAAATGCTTCACTGAATGAGCCTTGGCTCTTACCTAGGACCTCAGGTGGCTCAGACTGGAGGCCTTCTGGCTGCTGGCCCTGCAGCACGTTGAGCAGGGCTTGGAGACTCCTGAGACACAGGGATGGATGAGAAAATCGTGTCTCTTTGATCAATTCAAAAACTTCACAAAGGCCAACCTCAATAATCTATTTAAAAGGAAAAAATATATATACTTTATGACATGTAAGCTAGTAACACTTTCTAAGCAGTTTAGTTGGTACAAGTTACTTCCACAGCAAATGATAATGTATATGTATAATGGAGCCATAATAAAACATCATGAAAATGGCTTATAACAATGAACTAGAGACTAGATTGCATTCACTCAGAAGAAATAAACTATATTAATTTGCAAAGTTCATTTGATTGTACTCAAGGAAAATTCAGTACTCTTTTTGTCAAAAGTCATGTTAATTGTTACCTATAACCAGAAATAAAGTCAACACAGCACATATAGTAAAAAGATTTTACAAGGAGCTTTTCGTCTTAGCCTTTTCTATAATGGTACAATCACTATATTATTATTTATAGTTGGTATCCCTTCTTGTAGGATGATCACAAAACAATTTAAAACTGCTTAGCTAAAAATATCACTGGTACTTTTCCTTTAATTATCTTACTATTCCTCATCAGGTGCAAGAAAAATCAGACTCTATATCCAGCAAAAGAGATAAATTTGTTACTAAAGATTGAGAGAGCAAATTGCAATGAATGAGTTTAAGGATATACCTTCATAAGACTGATAAAACAAAAGACAAATTCCATTTCTCAGGCAATGTCAACATTCTGAGAACCAGTTCAAGAAGTATTAATTAAATTGTTTGGAGAAGTAACAGAAAAATTGAAATAAGACTAATTAGTAGAAACTCCCAAAACCATTAATTCTATTGAACACAACAGTGGAAGAATATTCTCTCTGCTGATATTTTTGCATTAATTCATATATTACATAAATACCTCCTAAGCACTCATATTGTGCAAACTCACTTTAGGAAATATGAAGGTATACTAGACCCTGTCCTCTAAGAGTTTATAATCTAATAGGGTAAATTAGTCATGCTATATAATTCATACTCAATACAGACCTCTGTTATAGCATTTATTACATTACAGTATAACTATTTTTGTTTTCATTTTCCCAACCATGTTGGGATCTTCCAATATACAAGGAACATGTCTTAAACGGCTTGTATTATCTTCCAATATACAAGGAACATGTCTTAAACGGCTTAATACCTCCCATGCCTAGCCAATTACCTAGCATATGGTAGGCACACATTAAATATTTGTTTAATTTATTCACTAAATTGTTTGCTAAAAAACCACTGCATCTCAGAAATACATTTTCTAAACCAGAAGCAAGTCGGCTGAAGGTAAGTCAATTGTAGTTCTGATTAACATTTACAAGTTTTCTGGAAACAACAGATATAGCTAAGAAGTCAAATAACTAGGAGGACTGTCTTTGGAGAAGTTATCTAAAATGCTAACAGACTTGATTATAGCTAATATTACAGAAGAGTCTGCATAGAGTTTCAATTGATTAAACACATTAAGTGATTAAACTTTCACATTTGATATAGTTTCTTTTCCTGGAATGGACTAGAAAACAAGAACATGCTGTCCAAGATTTCCATCTGCTTATGTACTTACAGGAAAGAGAAATGTGAAGTCAAAGATCTCCAGAGTACAAAATATGGGGCTCTATTCTCAAGCCAATGGAAGACTACTATATTCTGTTATTCTTTCAGATTGCTTACTCTGCTACCAACCATGATTTTTCATAAATCCAAGAGGATTTTTCACAGATGACATTTTTGGCTAAGGTTCATTTATTATAGATACAGTTTCCTACGGTGACAACGGAATTATTGAACCTTGCCAGAAACAGTAAGACTGCCTAATGAACAGGTTCTTGATCTCTCTGGTAAGTTTAAGGTGTAATAACAAGTGAATGGCAATAGGCAACTCAGGTGGGCTGCCTAGAAACAGAGCTAGCCGGTTTTAGTGAGACTGGCCCATAAAACTTTGGTCACAATGATGATAGGGAACTCTTCATCTGTCTGGGTTAAACACTGTGAGAGTCTCACTAATTATCCACATCTTGGTTCATTGTAGACTTTTTGTTTAACAAATGGGAAAACATTCATTTTCAGAATAGTAATATATATTCAATACACAACAAAAATCAACCTCAAGTTCTGCAACTATTAAAGAATTTTTAATATTTAGCTATGGATTATTGCACAGAGGTAACAGACATGTTCTTAAATAAGTCTTTTTCTGCTGTTTGGCTAAGTATAAAGTATTTTACCAAAAGTTTGAACTTTGAAAGTAGACTTTAAAACAGTTTGAAGTCTTATAGTCAATGAAAACACATATTTCTCCCTCCTTCAGTATCAGGAAGGAAGAGTGTAAGGAGAAAAAATATAGTCCTGCCAATATAGTATTATTTCATTTGTGTGTAAAAAACATTTTAATGTGTACATAGAAAAAATGACAAAAGAAATAAAAATGTTTATATTGGGGTATATTTTGGTTAATGGTATTTCAAATATTACTTCCGATTTTTAATACCTCTTTAGAAAAATGTTCTGATTTTTCAAATCATCTACAATAAATATGTATAATTAGCAAAATAAATAAATGTGATATTTAATAAAAATAATAATTATAACAATAAAAGAACACAAGAAGCTTCAATACTTTCCATAACGAACTATAACTAATTACCCAACACATGCTTTCGCACTTCTCTTCAGAAAATAGTCTTTTGTAAATTTACTGAATTTTACCTTTACTGCTGCTCTCAAATAATTAAATTTTGAAGGTTATCTATCATATTTGAAAGATAAAGAAACATGAAGCCCAAATAATTACCTGATACAGCCAGTCTAATATGCTAGGAAAGTGAGATAAAAATATATTTGGCCAAAGAAAAATGATATATAAAGAGTCTTTCAAGGTTTTATTTTGCCCTTCTCAAATCATATATTTCCAAACGTGACTTTATTATTTCATGACTAAGTGTGATCATAAAAGTTTAGTTACATCACATTTGGATTTAATAATTAATTCTTTACCCTTAAAAATTGTATCTTGTTTAGTTAAAAGGTCCTAAAATCACTTCCTATACTTTTATATTTGAAAAAGCTCAAAAGGAAATCAAAATTATATTTACATATTACCATAGAGTGAAGTATACTGTCTTTTAAAATTGTTTGTATAAAGCAAATATTTGGTACAGAGATAATATCTACAAATAATAAAAAATTTAAAAATCTAGAGACAGAGAAAAAAGGAGGGGGAAGAGGCAGCAGCAGAAAGAGAGGAGGAGAAGGCTAAGATGGAGAATTCTGAATGTGAGGCCGGGTGTGGTAGCTCACACCTATAATCCCAGCACTTTGGGAGGCCAAGGTTGGGAGATCACCTGAGGTCAGGAGTTGCAAACCAGCCTAGCCAACATGGTGAAACCCCATCTCTACTAAAAATACAAAATTAGCCAGGCATGGTGGCGCATGCCTGTAATCCCAGCTACTTGGGAGGCTGAGGCAGGAGAATCACTTGAACCCAGGAGGTGGAGGCTGCAGTGAGCCAAGATCGTGCCACTGCACTTCAGCCTGGGCAAGCAGAGTGAAACTCCATCTTGAAAAAAAAAAAAAAAAGAAAGAAAGTATGAGTGTGAAGTTTCTGAGTTCCTTGCCTAACAAATTTATCTATGACTACTACCATCTTCTTCCCTTCTCTTCACACTCAGAGGAAGAGAACTTTTCAAAACTTTTCAACTTTTCAAAGCTATTTTTTCAAACAATGTTCTTGATCCCACCCCCTCCGATCTCTCACAGAAATTTGTTTCAACTTGTGCCTACATAGTGATAACTCCCAAATCTATTTTTCTAGCTGACACTTATTTTTTGAACTTCAGCCCTACATAGCACACACTGGATACTTCACATTTACCTCAGAATCAGCATGTGAACTAAACTTGATCATCATTTCAGCCAAGCACTGTTCCTCATCCAGTATTCCCTCTTTCAGTAAAGGCCCTCACCACACAAAACCTTTAAGAATATCTTTAGATTCTGCCTTCTTTTTCAGTCGTTATAGCCAATTTATTACTAATTCCTGTCAATTCTGCTTAACATTTCCTATATTCAAAACACTGTCACTACCATAATTCCAACCCTCATTAACACTCTCTAGACAACTGCAATAACTGCCTAAATGGTTCCTCTGTCTCCAGTCTCACTCACCACCCTGTAGTTATGGATATGCCTTACTAACCGGAGTACAAAGTTACTTACTAACTGGAGTACAAAGTTACTTACTTACTGGAGTACAAAGTTACTCCAGTGTTAGTAAGGCATATTCATAACTACAGGGTGGTGAGTCTGATGCAATCATGCAAGTCTGATGATATTCTTTTGCTTAAAATCTTCAATATTTACTAATTATGAGATAACATCTGAATCAATTACATGGCACATAAGGCCCTTCATGATTTAGCTTCCTGCTCTCTCTCTCTTGCTCTATCTCAGCCAGTGTTGAGTCCTTTCTCTAACGTGTTCCACTATATCTAGCACTCCCTATCAATCCTTAAGGCACTAGAGAATATTTATTGACCTGGTTCTTATCCCTACAAGACAATGCTTTCTTGAGGGCAGGAATTATGTCTCATCCTTTTGTTCTCAGGACCTAATATAATGCTGGCTACAAATTCAAAAAGAATATACTGAATTAAGAAAGAAATGATCCTAGGTAAGTCTAAATCTTTTAATAATGTGGCATGACTGGCTTCAAATGGGTTCAGATGGGAAATATGACTTCTAAGCGTTACTATTTAAAAATTATGCACCAGGCACGGTGACTCCTGCCTGTAATCCCAGTACTTTGGAAGGCTGAGGCGGTCAGACTGCTTGAGCTCAAGAGTTCGAGACCAGCCTGGGCAATCTGGCAAAACCCCATCTCTACTAAAAATACAAAAAGTATCCTGGGGTGGTGGCAAACACCTGTAGTCCCAGCTACATGGGAGGCTAATGTGGGATGATCACTTGAGCCCAGGAGGCGGAAGTTAACGGTGAGCTGAGATCACGCCACTGCACTCCAGCCCCAGTGACAGAGCCAGACCCTGTCTCAAAATGAAAATAAAAACAAAAATAATAAAAATTATGTAGCTATAAAATCTGTAAAGTTTTAGAGGATGTAGATTTTAGTGACAGTTTGAGCTGGTTAAAAAACTTAATGTAGAAGCATTCAGGGAATAGAAAGCTCGTTTAAATACATCAATGATTACTGATCCGCAAAACACAAAAACAAAAGCAAAAAGCAAAAGGGTGACAATCAAGGTCTATATAACAGTCAAACTCAATTTATTAGTAACTAAATAATAATTTAAAACTCAAGAATGGGAAAAATAAAACTGTATTACAACAACACTTCAACAACAGATTAAAAACTGTCTTAATCATGTTAAGGAAAAAAAAAAAAGAGTACAAGAAACAGAAACCTCAGGCAAGAAGGAATGGGACAGCCACACACTTAGGAGGAGCAACAGAGGAACAAAGAAAAGGAGCAAACTAGGATAATAGCAGCATTTGGGGCTGAGGCACAGAGAAGGTCAAAGGGAAAAGAAAAATGCCAACATTTCCCACTTGCCTTCAAATCCCATCACCTCAAACCTTAAGAGACTAATTTCGTCCTCAGTGTCAATCCTTCATGTCATGGAAATGGCTGCCAAAAAATATCACCTGAAAGTTTCACTCCCCACCCATAGTATCTGCTTGCCTCTGCATAGAGGCATCTCATCACTTCTTCCTCTCTTTACCTCTCATTCATCAGGTGATTGCACTGATTCTCTAGAAGTTTCATTTGCTTGCATAATTTTTTTAATAAACTGAAGAGTTCCTTGACAAGTAACTCAAATTCATTTGCACCTACACATTTTCTTGTTTGCACCTAAACTGACACTTACAACTATATATATCATTTACCGAGCACTTCTTTCTGCCAGGTACTGTTCTCTCAAGCACTCAACATCCATTAATTCATTTAAATTGTCACTACAACCCTATGAGGTAGATGCAACCCCCAATCTATAGATGACAAAACTGAGGCACGGATGTGTCAAATAACTTCCAGTGTCACATAGCTAGTAATTTTAATGGTGTTTGAACCCCAGCAGTTTGGCTCCATAACCCATGCTAACCCTGTTTGCAGACAGGTCAGTACTTGGTAGAAAATTCAGTATTAATCACTTGGGCTATCTGATCTTCTTTAATTTTCTTTGAAAGATACCCCTTTGACTCTGTTAATTATGCTGCAAAAGGTTATCTTAAGAATGCCTGATATTTCATTTAATACTCACTAATCCTGATGTTTTTAAACACCCTAGGAATCCATTGTTCTTGTTTATGCAATTTAATTTGAACTACAGTTTACTATTCAAAATCTGCATACCTGTGTAAAAAATTTACCCAGGCTTTTGTTTTCTCTCACAATATTGAACTTAAGTAGCACAATTACTATAATACAGTGTGACTCACACATACACAGAATTGGTATTCTAACTAAAAAGTAAATTATACAAGTCCTCCAGCCCTACGTCCTAACTCAACTATGTTTTTTATCTCAATCTCTCCTAGTTAAGCATAAGAAATTACAATTAGAGACCATAATTTCTATGTAGAGCAGCTCCCATATTAAAGATAAACATGTTTGTTTTAGGTTAAAGAAAGAAGCTATTGGCCAGGCACGGTGACTCACACCTGTAATCCCAGCACTTTGGGAGGCCAAGGTGGGTAGATCACCTGAGGTCCAGAGTTTGAGACCAGCTTTACCAACATGGAGAAACCCCATCTCTAATAAAAATACAAAATTAGCCAGGCGCGGTGGCACATGCCTGTAATCCCAGCTACTCAGGAGGCTGAGGCAGGAGAATTGCTTGAACCCAGGAGGCACAGGTTTCAGTAAGCCAAGATCATGCCATTGCACTCCAGCCTGGACAGCAAGAGCAAAACTCCGTGAAAGAAAGGAAAGGAAAGGGAAAGGCAAAGGAAAAGGGAAAAGGAAAGGGAAAAGAAAAAAGGAGAAAGGAAGGGAAAGGAAAGGAAAGGAAAGGAAAGGAAAGGAAAGGAAAGCAAAGGAAAGCAAAGGAAGGAAGGAAGGAGCTATTAGAGTAGGTACAGTTAGGACATTGCAGACAAAGGAAATAAGAAAAAGAAAAGGGTCCCACTCTAAAACAGGAGGCAAAAAGGACATGTGAAGATGGCTGATCAAGAAGCTGAGTAAGTTCACAAAACTTGTATTACTCTATGAAATATGAAGCAAGCCATCTGCCGAGAATAAGGTGAGAAGAACCTGACAATATGATTAAGGATGGTGGTGTACTTAGGAACAGCCACCATAAAATGTGCAAAAGAACTCAGACCAGGTTCCATTTATGCTGCTATTTCCAAGTAGTAAAAAATATTTACACAATCCCTTGTGGATATGTATAAGCTTTCAAGGCATAATTTTAAGGTATCAGTTTAGTAAAAAGGCAATAGTCATAAATCATTTATAATTATAAAATCATTTTGAATAGCTCTGTTTAGAAAAAAGCAATATGCATAAGTCATATAAAGGCACCATTTAAAAATGTCTATATTTTCACCTATTCTTTTGTTGTAAATATTAACTATATCTACTATATAGAAAAAATATATATAACAGGCTGGGTGCAGTGGCTCACGCCTGTAATCCCAGCACGTTGGGAGGCCGAGGCAGGCGGATCACGAGGTCAGGAGATCGAGACCATCCCGGCTAACACGGTGAAACCCCGTCTCTACTAAAAATACAAAAAAAAATTAGCCGGGCGCGGTGGCAGGTGCCTGTAGTCCCAGCTACTTGGGAGGCTGAGGCAGGAGAATGGCCTGAACCTGGGAGGCGGAGCTTGCAGTGAGCCGAGATGGCACCACTGCACTCCAGCCTGGGCAACAGAGCTAGACTCCGTCTCAAAAAAAAAAAAAAAAAAAAAAAAAAAAAAAAAAATATATATATATATATATATATATATATAGACCTTCCAGTCTTAAATATACCAATACTTAAACAGAACAGAGTAAACTGAGAGTAGTTCTATAATACAGGTTTTTTGTTTTGGTAAATGGAGTCTAGCTCTGTTGTCCAGGCTGGAGTGCAGTGGCGCCATCTCGGCTCACTGCAAGCTCCGCCTCCCGGGTTCACGCCATTCTCCTGCCTCAGCCTCCCGAGTAGCTGGGACTACAGGCGCCCGCCACCGTGACGGGCTAAGTTTTTTTTGTGTTTTTAGTACAGACGGGGTTTCACCGTGTTAGCCAGGATGGTCTCGATCTCCTGACCTCGTGATCCGCCCGCCTTGGCCTCCCAAAGAGCTGGGATTACAGGCGTGAGCCATTACGCCCAGCCAGTTTCTTTTTTTTTTTTTGAGACAGTCTCACTCTGTCACCCAGGCCGGAGTGCAATGGCATGATCTCGGCTCACTGCAACCTCCGCCTCCTGGGTTCAAGCAATTTTCCTGCCTCAGCCTCTGAGTAGCTGGGATTATAGGCGACTGCCACAATGCCGGGCTAATTTTTGTATTTTTAGTAGAGACAGGGTTTCACCATGTTGGCCAGGCTGTTCTCAAACTCCTGACCTCAGGTGATCCACCCGCCTTGGCCTCCCAAAGTGCTGGGATTACAGGTGTGAGAGCCACTGCGCCCGGCCTACAATACATGCTTCTATTATAGAAATACCAACTAGTTTATATGCTCCTGGTAAATAAGGGAGTAATATCAGAATAATGCAGAAGTTCAGTTGGTTCATAGGTGATTTTTTTTTTTCCTAATCAAGGGAAACCACAATATCAAGAGTACAATTATAAGCTTAGGCAGAAAGGAAAAGGCTCTCAGCCCTGCTACTACACAGCTGAGAGGCTTTGTAGTTCTATTTCAAGAAAAATAAAAACGCATACCTGCATCCCAGGTGAGGAGCACCTCCCAGCTTTCCAGGGCTCTTGGCTTTCTCTTGTGCCCACCTTACTCTCGGCTCACTGGCTCAGAGCTCTACTTCCATCTGCCATGGCTCAATGCCTCTATACTAGCATTTCCACCCTACTGCTTTTGTACATTTTTTAATTGCCCCTATAACAGACTCCAACCCACTGATCTCCCTTCCTGCGCTTTCCAGTGAATTATCAATTATTGACTTTGTTAGCACCTTAGTTATAAAGTTGCAGAGTTTTCCTTTTCTGCTCCAAATCTATTTTTGCCCATAAGCCGTGTTATTTTTAGTGTGCAATTTTACATAAAGCAAAGTATTTTAGCAATGCGTATATATGCATTATAGCCAGAACACCTGCAGGTTACACATCTAAATATTAATAGAACTCAGTGGCTTACCTTTGGAAGCTTGATAGGGGGCTCTTTGGATTCCTCTTCTTCATCACTATCTGATTCTCCACTCTGCACAGAGTTCTTAGATGCGGCTGCCAATGATATTTCCTTTTTCTGCCATTCCAGAACGCAATGGCGTACATTACAGTAAATATTGAAAGCAGAAGGATTGCTATGTAGTTTGATATCTGGTATGATTACTGTATTCTCTAAGTTTTCAGACTGAAATACAAAACAGAATATTTCCATTTCACACTCTTTTCTATCATCAAGTCCCATTTTACATAAAAGTAAAGATTAGACACACTAACTGACTTGCAGAAGACACATTATGTGACACAGCAGAGACAGTCTAAGTCTATGGACCCAACTTCTAGTCCCCTTTTCTATACCTCACTATTTTTTGAGCAATGCAGCAATAACCAACCAATCTGACAAGGGCTGGAAAAGGATGGGCAAAAAACTTAGAAATATTCTTGTATCGCCATGACAGGAATAGACTCAACAAAGCTTAACTCTTAGAGTTCTGTATCAAAGGAAATTCATTTTACGACTTCCTAAGAGACTCTAGACACACTGTAGAGTCTCAATGACCTACTACAAACATTAGATTGCATTTTGAATGCTTTTAAAAGTAGATATAGAAGTTTACACAGAAATGAGGGCCTCCCAAAAAAACACTTAATTTTCATCAGCTCATTTCATTCTCATTCAAGTAACAGTAATGCCAAGTAAACTGTAGATGCTTCCCTAAGCTCTCTCTCACCTATCAGTATTGATAAAGGCTAAAAATCATGTGATTGGTAATTTGTTAAGACTAAACAGTTTCTCTTTTATGCCCAATATTTTATTCATCAGACAGCAACTACAATTTCAAGATCAACATTTATATTATAAATATAAAAAGCTGTTTTAAAATATTTTAGAAATTCAACTTCCAATAATTAGAGTATGTCCAGGAAGTATCTAAGATAAACAAAATGATACCTCAAGTACCAAAAACACTTGGTCCCAAATATTCGACTCTTCTTCCATAAAGAATTGGAAAAAAAAAATACACTTGTTAAATAAGAAATACATCAAAAAGTTAAATTGGCATGGCATATAACTTATGAATATATGTATAAGAGATATTACAAATATCTCATCCAAATATCCAGAGATATTACAAGTATTAGCTATTCAAATCCAACAATATATAAAAAAGTAATACATTATGACCAACTGAGGTTTAACCCAGGGACAATGCTGGCACAACACTGGAAAAGCAACCACTGTTGTAACAGAGAAAAAATATATTATACTTCAAATAAACACAGAAAGATCACTTGACAAAAATCCAGTATCGATTCATGATAGAAAAAAAAAAAGTCTAAGTTAGGAATAGAAGGGAATTTTCTCAACTTGATAAAGGGTATCTACAAAATAACCACAGCTAACATGGTAATAGACTGAATGCTTTCCCTCTAAGATTGTGATCCAGGCAAATTGGTCTACTCTCAGCAACTCATCAACATTGTACTGGATATCCTATCTAGTGCAAGGAAAATATCCTATCCAGCCAAGGGAAAAAGGCAAGAAGTATTTTCTAAAAAAGAAATGTTTTTACTTGTAAAAAAACATGTAGAGAATCTTAAGGAATCTGCAAAAAAGTTACCAGAAATAGTATGCAGATTTAACAAAATCACAGGATATAAAATTACTATATAAAAATGAGTAGTATATCCACATACTAGGAATGAACAACTGAAAAAATGTAATTTCAAAAATAATAGCATTGAAGTCACAGACTGGGAGAAAATATTTGCAAACCACATATCCAACAAAGGATGAGTATTCAGAATATATAAAGAATTCTCAAAAGTCAACAGTAAAAACAAACAAGGAATCCAATTAACAAATGGGCAAAAGATAGGAATAAACACATCAATATAGAAGATATTTACACAAAGGGTGAATAAGCACATGAAAAGAATTTCAACATCATTAGCTACTAGGAAAATGCAAATTAAAATGAGATATAGTACACACCTATCAGAATGGCTAAAATAAATAGTGACAACACCAAATGCTGGTGGGGATGAGGAGAAACTTATACATTGCTGATGGTCATGTAAAATGGTACAGCCACTCTGGAAGAAAGTACAGCAATTTCCTACAAAACTAAATATGTGCTTACCATATAATCCAGCAATTATGTTCTTGGACATTTACACCAGAGAAATAAAAACTTATGTTCACACAAAAACCAGTACACGAATGTTCGTAATAGCATTCTTTTAAAATAGTCAAAAGCTAGAAACAACTCAGATATCTTTTAATGGGTAAATGGTTAAACAAACTATAGTACATCCATACCATGAAATGCTTACTCATCAAGGAACAAACAATATGCAACAATGTGTGTGAATCTCAAAGACATTTTGCCAAGTGGGGAAAAAAAGCACCAATCTTAAATGATTACATACTGTACAATTTCACTGGACAACATTCTTAAAATGGCAAAATTATAAATGCTGAACAGATCAGTGGTTGCCAGAAGCTAAGGAGAGGGTGAGGAAGGAAGATACCTGTGGCTATAAAGGATATCACAGAGAATCCTTGTGATGGAACTGCTGTATATCCAGACTGTGGTAAGAGTCACATGGACCTACACATGTGATAAAATTACACAGACTTAGGTGCACACAAACACATACACACTGCATTCATACTGAAATCATCTCAAAGCAAAATAAATTTTCAAAAATAACTGCATTTACAGTAACATCAAAAATATATAATAATTGTAAATAAAAGTAATAAAATATGTGTAAGCCCTACACACTGAAAACAAAAAAGTGTTGCTGAGTGAAATTTAAAGACTTAAATAAATGGAGACATATACCATGTTCATGGATTGGAAAATTCAATATCATTAAAATGGCAATTCTTCCCCCAAAAGCAAGCCACAGAACAGGAGAAATGTATTTGGAATGCAGATATCTGACAAAAGACTTGTATTTAGAATATATGAGAAACTCTGGCAATTCAATAAGAAGAAGACAATTACAAAAATAAGAGGCAAGATCTGAACAGACATTTCACATCAAAAAAATAAGAATGGCAAAAGGTACATGAAAAGATTTCACATCATTAGTCATTAGAGAAAAGCAAGCTAAAACCACAATGGGAAACCCCTACTTAGTAGGCTGACTAAAATTTAAAAAGCGAATACCATATGTTTGCAAAGATATGAAGCAACTAGATTGGTCATATACCACTGGTGGGACTACAGATTGGAACAACCACTTTGGAAAAGAGTTTTCTAGTTTCTTAAAAAGCTAAATGTACAGGCCGGGTGCAGTGACTCACGCCTGTAATCCCAGCACTTTGGGAGGCCAAGGCGGGCAGATCACCTGAGGTCAGGAGTTCGAGACCAGCCTCCACATGGAGAAACCCCGTCTCTACTAAAAATACAAAATTAGCCGGGCGTGGCGGTGCATGCCTGTAATCCCAGCTCCTCGGGAGCCTGAGGCAGGAGAATTGCTTGAACCTGGGAGGCGGAGGTTGCAATGAGCCGAGATCGTGCCATTGCACTCTAACCTGCGGAACAAGAGCGAAACTCTGTCTCAAAAAAAAAAAAAAAGCTAAACTAAACGTACATTTACCGTGCCCACTCTGAGGAAAAAGTTAACGCTGCAGGCATGATTGCTTACTCCTTGTATTTCCCCAAGGAAACCATGATTGACCCTTGGCTAACCTTTGGGAATGTGGATGTTTAGAGTTTTCTTTGTGGTAGTGATTGATGATTGTGTTATGAACACACAGAGCAATGGACCATGCCTCCTGGCCTGTCAGACTGCTCTGCATGTACGAACATCAAGCTTTACAATGTGTACCTGAGTTTCACTTACCATGTCTGATTGACTAACAAGATATGTCTGTGTGACCAAACCCACAAAGTCTTGAATTCTAAAACTCACCTGAGCAAAAACAATATACACATTTCTCTGTAGTTCACTGCCAGAGAGAAAGCATGTCTTTCTTTCTGACATGAAAGCTCAGTCAATGAAGAACTAGGAAGCCTATGCCATAACTTCCTATACATCACAAACACATACCTTTTTCCTGCTGCTTGCTCTGTATCCTTTGTTGTAATAAATCTTAGCCATGAGTATAAATTGCTTGTGAGATTTATGAGTCCTTCTGGCAAATCAAAGGAAAAACCACCTAAACATTCCACTCCTCAGTATGCACCCAAGAAAACTGAACACACACACATACACACACAAGTGCATATATATGTATATAAAATCAGCAAAAAAATGGAATGAACTATTGATATACAACAACATTAACACAAATCATTATGCTGAGGGAAAGACACCAGATTTAAAAAAAAAAGAGCACTCACAATATGATCACATTTATATGAAGTTCTAGAAAATGAAAACTAATCTACAGTGACAGAAAATATATCTGTGGTTGTCTACAGCCAGGGTTATAGGGAGGGATGGAATCAGCAGAGGGTAAGAAAACCGGCCAGGCACGGTGGCTTGTGCCTGTAATCCCAGCACTTTGGGAGGCCAAGGCGGGTGGTTCACCTGAGGTCAGGAGTTTGAGACAGCCTGGCCAACATGGTGAAATCTTGTCTCTACTAAAAATACAAAAATTAGCTGGACGTGGTGGCTGGTGCCTGTAATCCCAGCTACTCAGGAGGCTGAGGCAGGGAATTGCTTGAACCCAGGAGGTAGAAGCTGCAGTGAGCTGAGATCGCACACCACTGCACTCCAGCCTGGGAGACAGAGCAAGACTCCGTCTCAAAAAAAAAAAAAAAAAAAGAAAGAAAAAAAAAGAAAACCCCTGGAGATGATAGAAATGTTCTGAACTTTGACTGCAGTAGTGCTTCTATGCATGAATGTTAACTTTCAAAACTTACTGAACTGCAAACTTCAAATCTCTATGTCAGGCTCAGCTACTGAGAAGCCTGAAGACAGACGCATTTGGGATTAGGAAGTTGAGGAACTTTTCTGAGTAATGAATTTGATTTCTCCTGTAAGAAAGTGAAGTCATGTGCTGGAAGGTAGAATTTATCAGAGGTTTGAGGAGCATGGCAAAGGTCTGAAATAATCACAGAAGAAAAGAGAACTATTTGACCAGAAAAAATAATAAGATAGTCTGGCTATGGTATACTTGAGATTGATGATCATGAATGTGTATCATTATCAGTTAACTCTTGTGTAACTCTCTTTGGCAGCACATGGAACTCACCTTAAGGGAGGGACAAAATAACTGGATTCACACAAGATTGAGTTTTGTCAGATTAATGCAACAAATATACAAGGGAGATATGGTAGGTAAATAATAGCCTCCAAAAACTTCTATACCCTAATTCCCCAGAACCCAGGTGAATATTACCTTACATGGCAAAAGGGACTCTGTATATGTGATTAAACTAAGGATTTTGAAATGCACAGATTATCTGGATGGGCCAATGTAATCACAAGGGTCCTTACAAGTGAAAGAGGGAGGCTGGACAGTAAGAGGAGGAGATAAAACAACAGAAAACTATCAGTGATGCCGCATGAGAAAACTCAACCAACCGCCACTGGCTTTGAAGATGGAAGGGGGCCACAACCCAAGACATCTGAGCAGCCTCTACTATAGAAACTGGAAAGGCAAAAAAACAGATTCCCTCCTAGAGCCTCCAGAAGGAATAAAGCCTTGCTGACACCTTGATTTTAGCTCAGTGAGATCCATTTTGGACTTCAGATTTCCAGAACTGTAAGATAACGAGTGTTAATTTAAACCATCAAGTTTTTGTAATTTGTTACAGATTAAATAAGAGTTTTTCTAAAAAGAAAGACTGGTATCTAACCTGGGTAAGATGGAAATTAAATAAAGGAGATGACTGATGGATGAGGAGAAATAGAGGGGTTGATGATAGCCATAAAGTAGATATAATGGCTATATATATATATATATATATATATACATATATATATACATATATATAAAATATATATAAAGTAGATATAAAGTAGATAAAATGCCAGCTAAATGGCATTTTAAAAATAACTTTCAGAAAGAGGGTAGATGAAAAATAATCTGGAAAAAGTAATACAGGTCAAGGAGACTAACAACACCATTTTACTACTTTATATGCTTTCCATGAGCAAAAAATGCCTCTTACTCATCTTTGTATCCCAAACATCCAGCATAATGCCTGCACATACTCAGCATGCAATTAATGTTTGAGGAATAAATGAATGAACTTACTTACATCACTGTTATCTCAAACTACTCTTAAAAAGAAGATATAGAAATACTGAGAGCAAGAGGAAAAAAACTGAATTACTAAGGGCACAAAGCTAGTTGGAGGCCGAATTGAAGGGGACAAAAGACCTTGACTTCTCCTCACCTCTTCCTGGATATCATATGCCACCACTTCAGGAAAATCACCAAATGAAACCTTAAAAAAACTTAAAAGATATTCAAGATTCCCATACTCCGATTTGCACATAGCACCAAAAAGTTGAAAAGGGATAGAGGTTGGAATGACTGTATTTGTTAGAGGTTTTCTGTATATTGACAATGCGCTCCACTTCCCTCCTCTATCCCAGAAGCAGAAGTAATGAGAAGGGATACAGTGAACAGATTATTTTTCTGCCTACCCGGCAACACTTTCCTTAGGGTAACTATTCCTCCCTCATTTCATGTGGCCTATTCACCAGGGTGCTCACCCACTGCCCATCTCAGGGTTAAAAATATAACTCAGTCTAACCAAAGTATCCCGTATCTCCGTGGTCAAAGCAAATGATGCAGGTAAACCGAAAATCCTACCCAAGACTTTCTGCTATGACTAGTATAAGAGATTGCCTCTTGCTCAGAGCAAATGGAGTTGGAGCTACTGGCAGCCTCAGCCTCAGTCACAGGTAATAAGTCCACACACAGAGGAAGGCAGAAGCAAGAGCTGAAAATATGGGTTTGATTATTTTTATTTATTTATTTATTTTTGAGACGGAGTCTTACTCTGTCGCCAGGCTGGAGTGCAGTGGTGCGATCTCAGCTCACTGCAACCTGCTCCTCCCGGGTTCAAGCAATCTCCTGCCTCAGCCTCCTGAGTAGCTGGGACTACAGGCACCCACCACCACGCCCAGCTAATTTTTGTATTTTTCGTAGAGACAGGGTTTCACCATGTTGGCCAGGATGGTCTCGACCTCTTGACCTCGTGATCTGCCAGCCTCGGCCTCCCAAAGTGCGGGGATTACAGGCGTGAGCCACTGCACCCAGCCAATGATATCATTTCATCCCCGGATCCATCTGTGTCTCAAGATAGAGCCACCAAATAAATGCCATCCCCCAACCTTTCATTTTATTTTAGGTTTGCTACTTTGAAGTAGATTTCTCTCAGTTACAATAGTAAAAACACTAACTTAAAAGTGTAGGAAACAATTGCCTCTATAGTTGCTATACAGGCCCAGCAAATCTATTGTTTCTTTAACTCAAAGTGAAGCTATTCAGGAATCATAGTTACGACTCCTCTCTTCCTTCTGTCTAGATGTTCAATAGAAAAGAGACTGTTATATCAAGTGCTCTGGTCACTGAAAATGTTCAGTATAAAAAAGATGGATTTTATAGAGATCTCTGCATTAGGTGAAAATAGATTCTTGGTTTCTAAGGTCTCACCTAATTCAAATATTCCATATTGCCTTTTCTTTTGCAGAGCTACCAACAGTCAAAAGAGGCTCAGAACAATATGGACACACCAAGTTTCCCTAATTCCTGTCAAGAAAGGCATATGATGAACCCAAATCCAAGTCCCAGTTTACAAGCTAATTTTACTCAAGTTTCTAGTACCTGTAGTCAGATTGAAAAAAGAGAACAGAAATGGATATGTTCCCCAAAGGACTGATCAAAGATAATAAGAATAAATAGCAAATAATTTTCAACATCCAGATATTAACTTCCAGGCTACTGGTCAAGAAAATCCCAGAAATAGGCTGGGCACAGTGGCTCATGTCTGCAATGTCAGTACTTTGGGAGGCCGAGGTGAGAGGATTGCTTGAGCCCACGAGTTCGAGACAAGCCTGGCCAATACCGTGAGACCCTGTCTCTACAAAAAATTTAACAATTAGCTGGTTGTGGTGGCATTTACTTGTAGTCCCAGCTACTCAGGAGGCTGAGGTGGAAGGATCACTTGAGCCCAGGAAACTACTGGACTCCAGCCTGGGTGACAAAACAAGACCCTGTTTCAAAAAAGAAAAAAAAAAGGCAAGAAAGAAAAGAAACACCCAAAAGAAAGATGAAACTAAAAGAGGAACCAAATCATAAAGGGCTTTTACAAAATTACTTCAGCACATACTAATAAAATGGTTTAATTATATTTTTTAATCTTGGCATTTTTATTCAAATCACCATATGAAAAAGTCCTATTCCTTATCAATTACCAGCAGCTTTACCTTGCTTCTTGTCTTCACTTTTGATTTGCTCTTCTGTTTTCTTTTCAATTTCTTCTTATTTAAAATTTTCTTATTCCTAAATATTAAAAGAAAAATGGGAAAAAAATATGAATGTTCATATTAGGACATACAAAGCTATCAAAAATGGGTATTTCCAAAGTAGACATTTGGATCTTTTTCTTGCAAAATTTCTTTATGTGAAACAATATACTTTACATACACATATAAGATACTAACATATAAAGTAGCTATTGAGAAGATAACATGGGGCAGCTAAGCAATATACAATATATATTAAATGATAATACAAATTTGAATTCTGCAAAAACATAAACTTAAAACATTAAAAAGGCATCAAATGAAGTGTTTTATACTTTATCCATAGTGGGATGTTTACAAATGTCAGTGATGTTTCCAAGAAAAAAAATCTGCTCTTTTTGGTAGTGAGGGCTACGGTGCAAAGGGACTTAAGAGCCACTTTTTACTAAACTACTATAGGAAAATCCCCAGCTCATATACTTTATGTCTCCAGCAGCCAGTCTGGATACTTCATTATCACATAGTCCTAAGACCAAATTATTCTTTAAGCAAAAGGAAGCCCCTGAATAACTTTTGAGAAACAGAAAAAAATATGTGATAAAGAATAAGAATTATGGTGCAAGAAACAAGAAGCAAGGAAAACATTTTATTTTCATTTCACTTAATATGTTTTATGTTCACCATGCTGAGATGCAAAGTAGTAAAGACACAAAATGAAAAAGACAGTTCTTGTCCCCAAGGAGCTCAGAGACTTGAATGGAAAGCACAGTTTAGTGATCTAACAAGAGGATACTACTGCTGTAATAAAGAAAAAAGGATGAAGTCGGGGGGAAGAGGGAATGCAGGGAGAACGAAGGGGAGGAGGTTGTTCCAGATGCTGAAGGGGTCAAGTCCTTAAGATTTGGTAACTAATTTAGTAACAGCAGTGACAAAAGAGAAAAATTTTAAGCCTAGGTCACTTGGAGGTAGACAATGTCACTCTTAAAAATAGAGAAGTTAGAAGGAAGAGTTAGCCTGCTGGAAAAAAAGTAATGGGTTTGATTTTGAAGATGTGTAACTTCAAAATACCAAAATGTCAACAAATAGACAAGAGTAACAAGCAGATGAAAATGTTATCCTTGACATTGCCTTCAGTTTCACTCTTGAAATCAAAATAATCACAAAATCTGGTCAATTATATCTCATAAACAGTTATTGAATCTGTCCACACCATCTTTACTGCTGCAATGCTAATAAGCTAGGTTACCACCACCTCTTACCTGGACCACTGCAAAAGCTTAACTCATTTCTGCACATCCATACCCTTCAATCCATTCTTCACATAGGAACCTAACTCAACTTTTAAAGACACAAACCTGAGTGGATAATTCCCCAGCTTAAAAATCAGTATCTTCTCAATTCTCTTAAGATAAAGTCCAAAAGCACCGACATCGTTTAAAAGATCCTCTTCCAATAACTGACCTCCATCAATCTCTCCTGCCTCATTTTGCATTCTTTTCCACCTGATTCATCATACTCCAGCAAGAAGGATATTCTTTCAGTTGTCTGAACCTGTTAAGCTTCATCACAACTTTCACAAAGGTTTTCCCTCTTCCTGAAATTCTCTACCACGTCTTCTCCTGCTAACCACTACTTATCTTCGAGGTCTCAGCATAAGTGTCACTTAAGTCTAACTCCCCACACTGGATGAGTTTCCCTAATATACACTCTCATTCATCGTATATTTATGTTTCATTGTACAGCCAATAACTGTAATTATGTATGGAACTGTTTAATGTATTGCTTCCTCGCCAAGCTAAAAGCTCCAATAGTGCAGGGGCCCTGTCTTTCTTGTTCACTACTCTAGCCTCTGTCCAGAAAAGTTCCTGGGATATAGTACTCAACGAGTATTTTAAGAGAAAGAGAAAGTATAAGAGAAAGAGTGAGGAAGGGGAGAAATGAGGAAGTTGAGAGCTACAGCTACATGCCTTACTCAGAGATTAAAATAAGGTATCTACATCTATGGTATCGACATGAGTGCATTTAAAGCATCTCTAGCCAGAAAGGCCCACTAAGGAGTTATCCTTGGGATTATTTTGCACAGACTTTAGTACAAAGGAGGTCATGGAAACTATGTATGTGGATGAGATTTCCACAAGATAGTATGCCATAAAAGTAAAGAGAAAGAGAAAGATTAACAGTGCCAAATGCTAAACATAAATACATATACCTGCTTATAGAATCTACTCAACTACTAGCATTGTGAGGGCATGATGAATGTCTATTTCAACTGTGTACTTTCAGCACCTGCATCAATGTGAAGCATCAGGGATGGTCAATAAATATCAGATGAACAAATAAATAAATAAAACACAATACGTATTCTTCATACTATTTAGGAAACCAACTTTCCTTTATATTAAAGATTACCTGAGTGAAATCAGGTATTTGAGCAACAGGAATACATAACTACTAAGAGGTTAGCCCCTTCTATATAACTTATAAAAGCATCAAAATTTATTCCAAACCAATTTTCAGAGAAGTAGAATATATAAATCCAAATTCAGATAGATTTCCTAAAGACAAGTTATAACTGACTCAAATTTTCCCAATTAGAGACCAATGTTTGTGTCTGTTTTATCTAATGGAACTTCTTTAAAGTTCAAATGACTTTACGTACATTTCTAAAATACTTCTTTCTATGCATGATGGCATTTAATTGGTTGTAACAATTCTTATGAATCTGAACCCATCAATTCTTAAGTACAGGCCATCCAAGAACTAGCTATTCCCAAATTAATTATAAATTACTTTTACTGTGTTTTTTGTTGTTGTTGTTGATTTGGTTTGCAGAGGAAGAGGTAGAAGTTTTCTAAAAGAGCCAGTAATAAGTTGAAAATTATATAAACAAAATTTGTATTCAACATTGGAAAATTTAAAAATGCCATTTGCTAGTAATATAACACACCATTATATCTCTATATTTGAGAACTAAGCTTAAACCTTTCACAATATCTGAGGATGGGAATATAAAAGAGAAACTCTAAAAACCAGTCTTACACATTAACAATTTAACTTGGAATTTCTGATGATTTAGGGCTTTATATTCTAAATCAATCGAAGCTTAATGAAGAATGTCTGGAATTGGTCCTGTAAGACTTTCAGTCTTCTCACAAAAATAACTTCATATCCATCAGATTTGAAAGAATTGTGGTTGACAATAAAAGGAAAAGGCTATTAACATGCCTTAAATATTTATCTTAAAATATTTACTTTAAAAATTCCAAAAATATTTTCTTAAGAGCTACACTGCTTAAGAAAAATCAAATACTTCTGCAATATAAGAACAAATCAATTTTGCAAATTATTCAGTGATATAGATCAATAGTTTCTCTATCAGCTTATTACTGAGTATACTTTATACCAAAAATGTAGTCATAATTTTAAAACCTCTTTCACTCAAATCTGCTTCATTTGCAAAATAAAGAGATGAAGGAGACTGAGGTTCCTTGTAAATCCTCTAAAATGCTAAGATTTTAATAAATCCAAATTTACAGAACTTCTGGAATAAAATGGTTTCAATCTTTTGCTTAATTTCTCTTAGTAATAAGAAATAAAAAATTCCTGAGCCTGTGATGTAAAGCAGGAATAGGGAAATTTTTTCTGCAAAGGGCCACACAGCAAATATTTTACACTTTGTGAGTCACAAGATCTCTGTTGCAACTACTCAATGGTTACAGCACGAAAGCAGCCATCGGCAGCACATAAAGAGAGGAGTGTGCATATATTACAATAAAACTTCCAAATTTCACATAATGCTCACAAAACATTCTCTTCCTTTTTTATTTTCTTTTCAACCTTTTAAAAATGTAAAAACCACTTTTAGTTCACAGGCTACATAAAAACAAGAATTGGGCCTCATTGGTCTGTGGGTCTTTGTTTGCTCGCCCCAGATCTGGGGCATATTTTGATAAACAGGCCCATATCAGAAAGGAAAAAAATGCTTTATAGCTATGAGTATGCAACACAGATAAAACTATTCAAAACATCACTATGCTTATAAAAATAAGCACTCCTAAAATTATCTGCCTTTTCTTTTTATAAAGATAAACTTCTGACTTCCACTTCCCTAAAGTAAGTGATTAGATAGGAGGCAGGCCAATGCGCCTGCTTCAAAGACCAGACTAACCAACGTAAGAAAGCTGTGGAAGCAATGAGGACTAAAAGAACAAAAAATCCAGAGGTGGAAGAGCACTTCCAAGGCAGCTGAGACCACTGGCTTGTTCTTCCATGGGGGTAACTGCAGAGCTTGGGCATGAGTAAGGACTGAGCTTGGCTTAAGCAGAGGAACTCTAATAAAGGAAACAAGAGACTAGTAGTGCTTTAGATGCCCATGTGGGCTGAAATGACAGACTGGAATCTAGAAAAGCTCTAGATACATAGACAGCTTTCCCAGTGGTATATCTCCTCAGAAATGTAACTGGAACACTGAAGGATGATAGAGAGGCTGGGTCAAGGCTGGGCGCGGTGGCTCACACCTGTAATACCAGCACTTTGGGAAGCTGAGGCGGGCAGATTACTTGAGGTCAGGAGTTCGAGACCAGCTTGGCCAACATGGTGAAACCCCGTCTCTACTAAAAATGCAAAAAATTAGCTGGGTATGGTGGTGCACGCCTGCAATCCCAGCAACTAGGGAGGCGGAGGCAGGAGAATCGCTTGAACCTGGAAGGCAGAGGTTGTGACGAGCCAAGAGCCAAGATCGCGCCACTGCACTCCAGCCTGGGCTACAGAGCAAGACTCCATCTCAAAAAAAAAAAAAAAAAAAAAAAAAAAGAGGCTGGGTCAAAAGGGAAGAGAAAACTTCCGTAAGAAGACAGAATCCTAGTAGAGGGAGGGAGCGGTCTATGTAATCCCTCACTGGATTGAGATAATCAAACTCCTCATTCTATCTGTCTGACACAGCAAAGAGCACACCTCTCTAGGAGAAAACACATGATCTGAAAGAAAATCATGTTCATTCATACACAGTGTTAGTCTAGTTCGGGGACACTAAGTAAACACATTAAGGGACATCAAAAGAAGCAAAATATGTGGCAGACACATAATCAAGAGAAAACCAGAAAATTAGTCAGACTCACAGAAAACCCAGATATTAACGTTAGGAGGCAAGTACCTGAGATGCAGAGATTAACAATATGTGTAAAATAATGCAATTGGCAATTTTCAACATAATTTATAAAAAAAGAACCAAGTGGACATTCTGAAACTGAAAAATAAACATCTGAAATTAAGAACTTCTCATATGATTTTAAAAGCAGAGTAAGTTACAGAAAAACAGGTTTCACAGACTTGCAAACAGGCCAAAAATAAATAAATAAATAAATAACAGAATTCAATCACGGAAACAAAAATGGGATGAACCAAACAGAGAACGAGACATGTGGGACAAAGTCAGATGGTCTCATATTCATATAATTGGAATCCCAGAAAGAGAGAAAAAAGAATGGAACAAAAGCAATATATGACAAGATAATTACTGACAATTTCCCAAAAGTGAAGAAAGAAATCAACTGAGAGATTCAAGAAACTCAGGGAACTTTAAGCAGGAAAATCCAAAGAAAAGCATACCTAGGCACAGCATGGTCATATTGCTAAAAGCAAAGCATAAAGAGAAAATC
The DNA here is from genome assembly GCF_000001405.40 of Homo sapiens. Classification (NCBI taxonomy): domain Eukaryota; kingdom Metazoa; phylum Chordata; class Mammalia; order Primates; family Hominidae; genus Homo; species Homo sapiens. Next base: position 77,302,295 of record NC_000013.11, read on the forward strand.
TTTAAAGCAGCCAGAGAAGAGATATGCTTAAAGGAACAATAAAATTGATAGTTTCCATTCTTTGTGTTGAAAAGGGCTGGGGGGTGGGGAGGGGGAGGTGGTAGAGTGGAGGGATGGGGGTTAGAGGTGGGGGAAAGTAACCTGGAATCATGTAACCTTTAAGAATGTATCTTTTAAGAATGAAGACAAAAATAAAGATGTTTTTAGATCCATGAAAGCTGATATAATTCACATAAAGGATTCTAAAAGTATCCTGTAAGAATGAAGACAAAAATAAAGATGTTTTTAGATCCATGAAAGCTGACATAATTCACTGTCAAGAGACCAATATTACAAGAAATACTGAAGGAAAGTCTTCCTTTAATAACTGTAATATCATAATTTTAAATGAAAGGATACATGCTAAAAGGACAGAAAAAGATGTATCTCAAGCACACTCTCCAGTGTCCCAAAAAAAGTTGGAGTGGCTATTTTAATATTTGACAAAGTAATTTTTAAGGCAACAGTATTAAAAGAAATGAAAAGAGCATTTCTAAATGGCAAAAGGGTCAAATCATTAGGAAATCATAACACTCCTAAATTTGAATGCATCCAGTAACACAGCTTCAAAATATATAAAGTAAAATTGACAGAAGTTAAATGGGAAAATACAAATCCACAATTGAAAGAGTAAGTTCTAACATACCTCTCTGTAACTGATAGAACAAGTAGAGACCAAAACAGCACTGACATAGAAAAACTTGAAAACATGATTAATCGGCCAGGCGCGGTGGCTCATGCCTGTAATCCCAGCACTTTGGGAGGCCAAGGCAGGTGGATCATGAGGTCAGGTGTTCGAGACCAGCCTCACCAACATGGTGAAATACCGTCTCTACTAAAAATACAAAAATTAGCCGGGCGTGGTGGCACGCACCTGTAATCCCAGCTACTCAGGAGGCTGAGGCAGGAGAATCGCTTGAACCCGAGAGGTGGCGGTTGCAGTGTGCGTAGATCACACCACTGTCCTCCAGCCTGGGCGACAGAGCGAGACTCCGTCTCAAAACAAACAAACAAACAAACCATGATTAATCAACCTGACCTAATTGGCATACATACAGAAACATATCCAACAACAATAGAATACATATTCTTTTCAAGTGCATATAGAACATTTACCAAAATAGATAATATGCTGGACCACAGACCAAGTCTAAACAAATTTCCAAGGACTGAATGATAAGGTAATTCTCTGGTCATGGAAAAATTAAACGAGAAATTAAAAAAAAACAAACAACTAAGAAATTCCCAAATGTTTGGCAATCAAAAAAACAAGACTTCTAAATAAACTATGGGTCAAAGAACTAGTCACAATGGAAATCAGAAAATATTTTCCATAAAATGAAAATGAAATTTGACATAACAAAATCGGTAGAATGCTGCTAACGCAGTACTTCCACAAAATGCATCTCCTTTTGCATACACATAAATGCATATACTGAAAAAAAAAACACTGAAAGTAAATTATCTAGACTTACAACTCAAGAAGCTAGAAAGAAAACCACAAATTAAATGCAAAATATGTAGTAGAAAGGAAATAAAAATAAGAGTAGATACCAATGAAATGGAAAGCAGACATTCAATAGAGGTTATCAGGGAGCCAAAAATTGGTTCTCTGAAAAGATTAGTATACATAACAAAAAGACAAAAAATAAATGCTATTGAAGATGTGGAGAAAGTAGAACTACACTGTTGATGGGAATGTGAATTAGTACAACCATTGTGGAAAATAGAATGGAGGCTCCTGAAAAAACTAAAAACAGAACTACCATATGATCCAGCAATTCCACTACTGGGTGTATATCCAAAGGAAAAAAATCCGTATGTTGAAAAGATTCAGAACTCCCATGTTCACTGCTACACTATTCACAATAGCCAAGATGTGGAATCAACCTACGTTTCCATGAGCAGATGAATGGATAAAGAAAATGTGATATATATACACAATGAAATACCATTTAGTGATTAAAAAAGAGTAAAATTCTGTCATTTGCAGCACCGTGGATGAGCCTGGAGGACATTATCTTAAGTTAAAGAAGCCAGGCAAAGAAAGATGAATATGGCATGTTTTTACTCATATGTGGAAGCTAAAAAAGTTGATCTCATAAAAGTAGAAAGTAGAAGAGTTGTTGAAGAGTAGCCAGGGGTTGGCTAATGGATGCAAAATCAGAGCTAGAAAGTAGGAGTAAGTTTGAGTGTTATATAGCACCACAGGGTGACTATCATAAACAACAATGTATTATACAACTTCAAACAGCTAGAAGAGAGGATTTTGAATGGTCTCATGACAAAGAAATGATAAAATGATAAATGTCGGAGGTGATAAATATGCTAATTATCCTGATTTGATCATTACACATTGTAAACATGTATCAAAATATCATATTATACCCCATGTATAAGTACAATTATTTGTGAATTAAATATATAGCAAATATTTTAAAATAAAATGAAATAAATATAATAAACCTAGAGCAAAAATGGTCAGGAAAAAAGTAAAAGCACAAATTACCAATATGAGAAATAAGAAAGGAGACATCACTACAGATGCTGCCCATAAATTTGACAAATAAAATGGATAAATTCCTTGAAAAAATGTAACTTCTCAACATTAAACAAGGGAAAAAAAATGTAATATCTGAATAGTCTTCTATATATTGAAAAAAAACTGGATCCCTAATCAAAATCTATCCACAAAGAAAACTCTAGACTCGGATGGCTTTGTTGGTGAATTCTTCCAAATACTTTAAAAATTCACTGGTAGTTCTTTCAAACATTATCAATGTTAGACTCTTTTAGACAATATAAAAAGAAGAAACATTTCCCAACTCATAAGACAAGCATAACTCTGATATCAAAATTTGAAGAGAACATTTCAAAATACAAAAATTTCAGACCAATATCTCCTATGAACATAGAAGCAAAAATACTGCACAGCCAAAAAATAGCAACAACCCAAATGCTCACCAACTAATGAATGTATAAAGTGTAGCACTTCCATATAAGAGAATGTTGTTTACCCATAAAAAAAGAATGAAGTACTGACTCATGCTACAACATGGATGAACCTTGAAAACATTATGCTAAGTGAAAGAAACAATGGCAACAAAAGGTCATAAATTGTATAATTCCATTTATATGTAATGTCTAGGTAGGCAAATTCATAAAAACAGGAAGTAGTAGTTGCCAAAAACTGATAGAAAGGAGAATAGAAACTGACTGCTAATAGCTTTGGGATTTATGGAGAGACAAAAATGTTTAGTTGTATGACTTTGTGAATATACTGGAAACCAATAAGTTGTATAAAAGGGTGAATTTATGGTATGTGTATTACCCCTTTTATTTTTAAAAAAAGAGAGAGCCATTTACCTACAAATAATTTTGTCTAACAACATGTGGAAAGAATAAATACATAATCAACATAATTCAATATAATAACAGAACAAAAGAAACAAAACATATGATCACTTCAATAGAAACAGAAAAAGTATTTTTAAAACTCAACAACCACTAGTGATGAAACTCCTTGGTGAACCAGGAACAGATTTTACTTAATCTAATACAGATTATCTATAAAAAACCTACTTTTAACAGTGTATTCAACTATACTGAATGTTGAAAAATTAAGTATTTCCACTTAGGCATAGGAGGAAAATGCAAGGATTTGTACTATCACCACTTCTGTTAACACAATATTGAAGGTCAGTAAGTGATGCAAATGAAATAAAAGTCATAATGGTTAAAAATTAAAAGTAAAGCATTTTTTATTTGTAGATAATTATATTTATAGAAAATACAAAATAATCCACAAATAAAGAATTAACAAGGGAATTATCAAGGTCACTGGATACAAGACCAACTTTTAAAAATCAATCTATGAAGCACCTTATGTAAACTGAAGCTTTTCCATAGAAGCCAGATTCATTCTGTGTAATTAATGTAATGATACTCCTATCATGTTCAAGCATCAATGAATAAATTAGGGAGGAATAGTTATCTCATTACTAAGTAGAAAACTTTTATTTACTTAACCTAGCCGGCTAATTAGTAATAAGAAAGAGATTTTAACAGTTCAACTTGATTTAGGGGAGAGATGAAAACAGATTTCTTATATATAGCTTCAGTCTCTTGATCTTATTTGGAAGTCTTCACATGGGGGGAGGACTATAAATAAAGCTACCTTGGCAATGGGCAGAGCAGCAGAAGGAAAAAGAAAAGAGGGTAGGGGAATATGGAAGGGAGCATAAGTGAGGGGAAGAGAACTCTCTGAAAAGCTTTGGCTATAGACCCTGCCTCATGCATATTTGTACTCTTAAGTAAACATAGGCTAGGTAGGCCAGGGAAACTCAAGCCTTGAAGCAATTGTAAAACTGTAACACTTTCTAATGATATCATGAATACAATCTATTCATCCCAGGCCTCAGAGAACAACAAGAGGAATGAGAGCAAGCAAATAACTAAGAACACAGAGATACAAGGCACTCTGAGTGAGAACAGCAGAACTAGGCAACAGAAAGACACCTATATAGACTTCAGATGGTGGGATTTTCGGAAAGATTGCAACAAGAACATGTGTATCAAATTTAAAGAAATAAAAGACTATCATTAAAATATCTGCAGGGAATGGGGAACAACCAAGCACATTTGAAAAAAAATCAAACTAGACATGAAAAATAACTGACACTACAGACTCCATAGGTGGATTTAAGTGTACAGGACACAGCTGAATAGAAAATTTAAGATCTAGAAAACAGATCAGAAAAAGAATCTGGAATTCTTCACAGAAACATAAAAAGGCTAAAAATATGTCCCTGAGACCTTTTCAAATCTGAAACTTCCTCCTTCCCCCATCCCAAAAGAGACAGCTCTTACTCTATCCAAGTATGCACTTCCTCTCATACACCAGATCCCATTTCATTCACCATCCTTGAGATTTTGCTCAACCATACATCCCTCTCTTTGTTTACCCTTTATGCTTTTTTTCTGTGGTTTCTAACCTTAGAGGCCTACTGTCATTCTCCAATTCAAAAGGGGAAAAAAGTTTAAGTAATCCTCTATCCCTCTTCATCACTAAATTTCTTGAAGAAAAAAATGGTCCTGGCCTGGGCAACATAGCAAGACCCCGTCTCTATTAAAAAAAAAAAAATTAGCCAGGCACGGTGGCATGTGCCTGTAGTCCCAGCTACTCAGATGGCTGAGGTGGGAAGATCGCTTTGGTCCAGGAGTTAGAGGCTGCACTGAGCTATGGTCATGCCACTGCACCCCAGCCTGGATGACAAAGTGAGACCCTGTCTCAAAAAAAAAAAAAAAAAAAAAAAAAAAAACTTCATTGTATTGAAGTTTTTTAACACCTTACTATCAAACTCATGCAAGTCTATGAGACTTCTCAATACCACAAACTTTCTAGTAGCCAATTCAACTGCCCATCTTCAGTCTTTATCCTTCACATTCTCCTACATACGATAACTACCAAACAGTGCCTACTTCTTTACATCCCTGCCCCCTGTCCCGCCAGCTTCTAGAACCTCTACTTTAGTGTTCCTTCTACCTCTGATGGTGGTTCCTTCTCAGTCTTCTTTACTGGCTCCTTTTTCTTCCTCTTCCTGTCCCTTAAGTCTTTACTACATATATCACTTCTAATGTGAGCTATCTGCTCATGTTCTATATTCACTTCTATACTGGTTAGTTACAAACCTTGTTCAATAAGCTATAACAACCCTAAACAATAATAGCTATTGGAGTTACTGAACATCATTAGACTGCTGGTCTAGAGCCAGTTAAGTTCTCTATCAAGGTACATCTACCATAAAAATCTAGAACCTTTCCAGCTACTTCAAAATCCCTCCCCTACCCATCAACTCAGAGCAGAGAATCTAACCATCTATTTAACCAATAAAATAGAGACACCATTACAAATGTACTCCCTTTGCTTTTCTTCCACCCACCTTGAAATGATCTCTAACCCAGGGCCTTACTCTATTAATTATTCCCATTCTCTCTCTCTTTTTTACTATCCTTGCCCTTTTCCTTCAGCCTGCTATGTCAAGATAGGTTAAGAGTACAGAATTTAGAAACAAATGACTTGGGTTCAAATACAAGCTCTGTCATTTACCAGCACTGTGATCTTGGTATTACTTTAATCTCTCTGTGCCTCAGTTCTCTCATCCATACAATAGGGTGAAAACAGTACCTCTCCCACTGGATGATGTCACACTTAGAATTATGCCTGGTATTTAGTAAGTGCTAAACACATTTTTATTATTATTCCCATGCCAAATTCAAATGTCTACCTTGGTTTGGGTTTCCCCAGAAGCAGACGTCAATTCAAGAATTCAAGTGCAGTAGTTATTTTGAGAGGTGATCCCAGGAAAAACACCAGTAGGGAAAACAAAAGTAAAACAGGGAAAAGAAGGAAGTCAAGAAAGGACATATTATGAAGCCAGTTACCCTGATGGGGAACTAGGGCCTGAACCAGTGGAGAACTCTGGTAGACAGCAGAAAACATGGCTCAGTTATCCTAAATGCAGGTGAGACAAAGGTATTTATCTACCAACTCCCCATCCATCACTGGTGGAAAGTTTTTCTGAAGGCATTAACTCTCTGGCGCATGTGAGTTGCCCTGCACACAGGCCAAGTGTGTTTCTTTTCAGGCAGATAGTCATAGATGTTTGCAGAAGACAGTATGCAAATGGATGCCAAAGGGATATGGCTAGGACACTAAGAACATCTCCTACAGGTTATCTAATCCAAAAGATTAATTATTTGTCTCCTTCCTTAAGCTACTGCCTTCCTTCTTGCCCTTTAAACATTATTAAACACTATTTCTAAATACTCCCATGTCCAGCCTCACTTTCCCACTTTTCCCTGCCTCCTGAAAAAAGGAGGTGAAGTGAGTGGGTGTTGGCTCATTATAATTTCTTATTGCCAACCTCAAGAACCTATCTCAGACTTCGGTTTCACTGGCCTAAGGGAAAAGAGGCAGTTTGTGAGTGACAGTATGTTCACGAGGAGACTTTGAATATACTGAACATAATGTATCTGAACAGGACTGAGAGAATCCTAGCAGTAGACTTTTCAAAATACAGGCTAGAACTTAAGAAAAGAGGTTTTACCTAAAAACCACAGACCAGGAAGTCAAATGCATATCTGAAATCATAAGCCTGAGACAACCAAAGAAGAAAATTCAGAGAGAAGAATCCCAAGAATGGACTCTTGAGAAACTAGCTCTTCCTCCCTTTCTATCTAGATGAAAATCATTATTATATTTGCACTTGAGATCTAGTCACCTGCTAAATATATCATTAAATCCACTTTATTCCATCTATTCCCATTATCTTTTCTCAGTATTTTCACTTGTCAGAGTTACTGCAACTGTCTCTTTAAAGGTAGCCCTGCTTTGCAGATCTGCTCCTTTTCATTCATCCTCTATAACACTACTAGAGATTATCTTTATAAATTGAAAGTTTAACTCTACCATTACATTGCTTAAAAACCTATGATTGGCTGGGCGCAGTGGCTCACGCCTGTAATCTCAGTACTTTGGGAGGTCGAGGCGGGCAAATCACGAGGTCAAGAGATGAAGACCATCCTGGCCAAGATGGTGAAATCCCATCTCTACTAAAAATACAAAAATTAGCTGGGCGTGGTGGTGGGTGCCTGTAGTCCCTGCTATGTAGAAGGCTGAGGCAGAAGAATCTCTTGAACTCAGGAGGCGGAGGTTGCAGTAAGCCAAGATCGCCCCACTGCACTCCAGCCTGGCAACGGAGTGAGACTCCGTCTCAGAAAAACAGACAAAAAAAAGAAAACAAACAAAAAATACCCTATGATTGTTCCATACTATTTTCAAATAAAGCAATACAGGGAACATAATAACCTAGTCCTAACATATCTTTCTAGCCATATCTCCTACCTCCTCATTTTTATGCACCCCGCTACCTACATTGTAGTTATTTCCAACATTTCTGTTTTGCACTTCTTTGATTCCCTGAATTCACAATGTAGCTCCAGCAACGATTACCACCTACTCAGGGGTCAGCAAACTATAGTCTACATGCCAAAAACAGCTTCCTGTCTATCTTTGTAAATAAAGTTATATTGGAACACAGCCATGCTTATCCATTTATATATATTGTCTGTGGTTGCTTTCAAACTAAAGAACAGAGCTGCATGGTTGCAACAGAGACTCTATGGCCCATAAAGTCTAAGTTATTTACTATCTGGTCATATAAATATGTCATATATATGATTATAGACACATATGATATCAAACAGTATCATATATATATAATTGGATTCCCAGAAGGAAATAAGAAATTGAGTCTGAAATAATATTTGAGGAAATAAAGGCCAAAATTTGCAAGTTAAATAAAAATTGACATCACACAGATCTAACAAACTGAAAGGATACCAAGCAGGATACACACACACAGAGACACAGACGTGTGTGCGTGCGCATGCACACACACACACACACCATATTTAGGTACAATACAGTCAAGCTGCTAAAAATCAATAAAAGGGAAAATCTTTTTTTAAAGCCAGATAAGAGAGTTCTGGTTCCAGTACATTGGCATAAACCCCAAAACAGCCTATTTTCCCCACTGTTTACAACTACTTTGGGCAAAATTTTTAAAAAGACAAAAAAAGTACTTCAGGACTCTGAAAAACAAATAAAAGCAAATTCTGGAGGGGAGTCAAAACTTGGAAAAGTGATTCACAGAAGAGTAAATTTCCCAGTTTGGTTGTTTTTCTCCTTTCACTAACAGCTTTGCCTGAAGGCCAGGAAGAGATCACTGCATTACAGGGCTACAACCCAAAAGTTAAAATTCCAAGTTAAAACTCTTTCTGGCCAGAGGAACTGAGAAAAGAAACTGATATGATGGAAAATGGGTAAGAAGTCCTGAAAAAGAGTAAGACACAGAAAGGGATCCCCTAAACAACAAAAAACACAACATCCTCCAGAGAATTATAATAAACCCTAGAGTTTACAAAACATAACATTAACCATGTCCAAGATACAATCCCAAATTCTCACAATGCAAAACACAAGAAAAATGTGAACAACTTCAAGGGAAGAGACAATCAAAAGATGCCAACCCTAAGACGATGCACATGTTGTAATTATCCAACAATGACTGGAAGGCAACCACTATAAATATGCTACATTGAGGAAAGACAAGGACAACTGAATGGAATGGAAAGAGGTTCTCGGCAGGGAAAGAGAAGTTTTTTTTTGTTTTTTTTTTTTTGTTTTTTTTTTAAAGAACCAAATGTAAATGTTAAAAGTGAAATAAACAATACATAAAAAGTTCACTGGTTGGACTCAATAAGAAAATGGAGATGGGAGAAAAGAGTCTGTGAACCTGAACGTGTATCAATAAAAATAACCTCATCTGAAAAACAGAGAAAAAAAATTGATAGGAGACTGAACAGTTAGAGGCCTGTGAAACAATCTCAAAAGTTTTATCATAATTGCCACTAGAATTTTGTAAGGTCAGAAGAAAGACACAATGGTAGAAAACATTCTAAACTTAGTGAAAGCCAAAAATTTACCGATTTGAGAAGCTCAGTACTCTTCAAAGAGGATAAACTTAAAGAAAATGACTAGATACACATCAAATTAAGCTGCTGAAAACCAAAAACAAAGAAAAAATTTTTGAAAGCAGCTAGAAAAAAATTACACACCACACAGAGGGGAATAAGGTTTACATTACAAAGATTTTTCACCAGAAATCAGAGAAGTGAAAAGACAGCTAAATGGCATCATTGAGGTGCTCAAGGAAGCAAGCATCTACTCGGAATTATATATCCACCTAAAATATCCTTTAGGAATGAAAGTAAAATAAATACATTCTCAAAGAAAAACAAAGAGAATGTATCCCCAGCAGACTGATCTGCTAGAAAAGCTAAGGTCAACATTAGGCTGAAAGGAAATGCTGCATCTTCAGGAATGAAGAAAGAGCAATAGAAACAATAAATATATAGGAAAACACAAAATACTAGATTTTTCCTCTAAGTTCTATAAAGTACACATGACTGTCGACAACAAAAACTATAACATTGTTTGGTGATGTTTGCCAAGTATAGTATGCATGACAACTATAACATAAAGGTCTCTGGGGGAGGGGAGAATAAAAGGATCTGTAGGGTTGCAAGGTTTCTGTGTTTTAAGTGAATTAGTATAATAATAACCCTAAGTAGCCTGTAAAAAGTTAGGTATGCATACTGTAATCCCTAGGGCATAAAAAAAGTAAATACAAAGAGATATTGCTGAAAAGACCAATAGAGCAACTAAAATGAAATACTCCCAATAATCCCAAAATATAATCCCAAAGAAGCAGAAAAGGAGGAAGAAAGGAACAAAAAAAGAGAAACAGAAGACAATAAAGTGGCAGACCTATCACTGTTGATATGGTAAATATGTCAATAATTAATCATATTAAATATTAATAATCTAAACACTCCAATTGAAAGGCAAAGATTGACAGTGGATTTCTTTTTTTAAGGGCAAGGTTCTATACTAGTTGCCTAAGAGGAGAAACTTTAAATATAAAAACATAAACATCCAAACAACACTTATCATCCAACTTTAACTGACATTTATAGAACTTCATGTCCAAAGATGACCGAACACATTCTTCTCAAGTGTGTATAATACAATCACCAAGACAGAACATATCCTGGGCAATAAAACAAATCTCAATAAATGTTAAAGATCAAAATCATACAAGGTTTATATTAGAAAGTAATAACAATAATATATTAATATGTAAGAAAACACCATATCTGAAAGTTGTAATAATTTTAAACAATAAATTGGAAAATAATTTGAACTAAATGACAAATATATAGCAGTCAAAATTTGTGGGATGTAACTAAAGCACAGCCCAGATAAAAATTCATAGCTTTAAATACTTATATTGGAAGAAAAATTTAAAATCAATGGCCTAGGATTCCACCTTAAGAAATTAGAACAGCAAAGTAAACTTAAAGAAAGTAGAAAGAAATAAATTACAATGATGATGGAAAAGCCAATGAAATAGAAAACAGATCAATAATAGAGAAAATTAAGAAAGCCAAAAGTTGGTTCTTTGGATCACATACAAAGAAATGAATCTAGAAACAAACCTTACACCCTTCACAAAAATTAACTCAAAATGGAAAACGGACTTTATATGTAAAATGCAAAACTATAAAACTCTTAGAAAATAACACAGGAGAAAACCTAGATAACTTTTTAGCTACAACACCAAGGTACAATCCATTAAAGAAATAATTAATAAGCTGAATACTAAAATTAAAAACCTCTGCTCTGCAAAAGACAATGCCAAGAGAACGAGAAGACAAGGCACAGATTGAAAGAAAATATTTGCAAAAGACACATCTGATAAAGGACTGTTATCCAAAATACCAAGAACTTTTTTCCCCATCTCCTCAGTTACACCCTCACAGAATACCAAGAACTCTCAAAACTCTAACAATAAGAAAACAAACAACTCAATTAAAGATGGGGCAAAGACCTTAACAGACACCTCACCGAACAAGATATATAGATGGCAAATAAGCGTTATGAAAAGATGTTCTACATCATATGTCATCAGAGAAATGAAAAAAAAAAACGAGATTCTACTACACACCTATCAGAATGGCCAAAATCCAGAACATAGACAACATCAAATGTTGGCGAGGCTTTAATGCAAGAGGAACTCTCATTTATTGCTGGTGGAAATGAAAAATGAAACAGCCACTTTGTAAGACAGTTTGGTGATTTCCTACAAAAACTAAACCTACTCTTAGCACGTGATCCCACAATCACTGTTTCTGGTATTAACCCAAAGGAGCTGAAAACATGTCCACTAGATTTAACCATTCCCCAATGTATATGTACTTCAAAACATCATGCTGTACATTATAAAAACATACAATGTCATTTGTCAATTTCTAAAAAAGAAAATGTATGTCCACACAAAAACCTGCACACAGATGTTTAGAGCAGCTTTATCCATAATTGCCAAAACTTGGAAGCAACCCAATTGTCCTCCAAACTCACCAAATTGTAGGTGAACAGACAAATTCTGGTACATCTACATGGTGGATTATTCAGTGGTAAGAAATGAGCTATCAAGTCTCATACACAAAAAAAGAATGAACCTAAATGCACATTACTAAGTGAAGGAAACCAATCTGAAAAGGCCACATACTGTATGATTTCAACTATAGCACATTCTGGAAAAGGCAAAACTATGGAGACAGTAAGTGATTACCTGGGGTTGAGTGGCAGAGAAACAGGAATAGGTGGAGCACAGATGATATTGAGGGCAGTGAAAATATTCTGTATGATACTACAGTGATAAATACATGTCATTATACATTTTTCTGAACCAAAAAATGTATAACCCCAAGAGTGAACCCTAATGTAAACTCTGGACTTGAGAGTGATTATGATGTGTCAGTGGAGGTTAAACAATGGCCACAAAAATGCCACTCTGGTGGGGGATGTTGATATGGATGAGGCTATGCGTGAGTGGGGGAAAGGGATAGATGGAAAATCTCTGTACCCTCTTCTCAATTTTGCTATGAACTTAAAACTGCTCTTAAAAAAATATTTTTTTTAAAAAAGGAGGGAGTTATTATCAGAGATCCCATAGACCTTAAAGGATAATGAAAGAATGCTATGGATAACTTCATGCTAAAAACTTCAACAACTTAGAAGTATGAAATGAATGAACTTCTCCAAAAAAATACAAGTTACCAAAATTGACATGAATAATAACAGAAAATCTGAATAACGCTCTAACTATTAAAGAACGTGAATTTGTCAAAAGCTTCCCCAAAATAAAATTCCAGGACCAGATGGTGCCACTGGTGAATTCTGTCAAACATTCAAGAAGAAATAACAACAATCTTACGCAAACATTTTAAAAATTGGGTAGGACTGGGTAGGGTAGGATTACTATGTAACTCACTTTATGAGACGAGGATAACTAATTCTAAAGCCTGACAGGATTAGCAAGAAAAGAAAAGAAAAAAAACCGATTACAGACCAATATCCCTCATGAATATAAACCTGAAAATTCTTAGCATAATACCAGCAAATCAAATTCAGCAATACATTCCAAATATGATGGTTTTATCCCAGGAATGCAAAGTTAATTTAACATTCAAAAATTAATTAATGTAATTCAATTTTCCTTTTGTTCTCTTACTATATGATCATTTTAACAGGTAGAGGAAAAGCATTTGACAAAACTCAATACACATTTATAATTAAAAACTATCAGCAAGCCGGGTGCGATGGCTCACGCCTGTAATCCCAGCACTTTCAGAGTCTGAGGCAGGTGGATCACCTGAGGTCAGCAGTTCAAGACCAGAGTGGCCAACGTGGTGAAATCTCATCTCTACTAAAAATACAAAAATTAGTCAGGCATAGTGGCGTGTGCCTGTAATCCCAGCTACTCAGGAAGCTGAGGCAGGAGACTTGCTGGATCCCGGGAGGCAGAGGCTTCAGTGAGCCGAGATTATGCCACTGCACTCCAGCCTGGGCAACAGAGCAAGGCTCTGTCTCAAAAAAAAAAAAAAAAAAAATTAAAATATAAAAAATAAAAACTATCAGCAAAGTAGGAATACTAGGGAATATCTTCAAATTGATAGAGGCCATTGAAACACCTACAGCTAATATCATACTTAATGATTTAAAAAACTGTAAGATTAATTTGTAGTTGTTTTTCTCTCAGATTAAAAACAAGGGAGAATTAAGTAATTGGAATAAAGTAGGGGCTGAGGGGTAGGAGAATCTAGAGATCAGAAAGAAAGACAATATGATTATTTACACAGAACATCCCAGGGAATTTACAAAACTATTAAAGTTAATAAATGAGCTTAACAAGATCAGAGATACAAGGTTAACATTCAAAAGCAACTGTATTGTTATATATTCATATCAAACAACTGAAAAATAGGAAAAACTAAACTAGTTACAGTAGCACTAAAAACCATAAAATGCCCCGATCAACCAGTTCATTCAGGCTGCCCCCAAGAATGATCCATCACCTAGGGCCATCACCTATTGCCAAAGGCAATGCCCATATTGGAACTAGGGAAGAGTCTGTAGCCAACCAATGTTCCCAGCAGTCGTGGGGGAATTTTGAGCACATCAGTGCTGGGCAGGGGCTCTGGGTTCCACAATACAGGATTCACTATATTTCGCCTATTATACAATTAGGATTCACTTGCTTCAAATAAGGCATGGAAAAAGTTCCTCCAGAATTCTGGTGAGTGTCATTTCCTGGAGAAACTTTCCAGAGGAAGGAAAGTGGGTCAAACCACAGCCCCAGCCACTACAGACGGTAAAATTGATATCAACAACTCTTCTCTACTAGCCATTCTAGATTCCTTTAATCTATGGCTAGTATTTCTGTTGGTCCAGGTGGCTGACTTCATGGGGTGGTCACTGGGCCTTTCTCGTGTCCATTTACCACAAACACTGGACAAGGAAGTACCAAGAGACACCTTATAGATCACCTGTGTGCCAAACCTCCATGCTCCACTGTGGAACACAGCCCTACCTCCTCCACATGAACAAGGACATTAACCCTGTCCAAATGGTGACTTCTTTTTTTGTTGTTTTTTTTTTGTTTTGAGATGGAGTCTTGCTCTATTGCCCAGGCTGGAGTGCAGTGGCGCAATCTCGGCTCACTGCAACCTCCACATCCCAGGTTCAAGCAGTTCTCCTGACTCAGCCTCCCAATTAGCTGGGATTACAAGCACGCGCCAACATGCCCGGCTAATTGTTTTGTATTTGTAGTACAAACAGGGTCTCACCATGTTGGCTGAGCTGGTTTCGAACTCCTGACTTCACGTGATCCACTCATCTCGGCCTCCCAAAGTGCTGGGATTACAGGCGTGAGCCATCGTGCCCAGCCTGGTGACTTCTTTATTTAGAAAAGGAGCCCCAAATCCTAGTGGCAGCTGTACTTTAAAGTATAACAGGATTCTCATAGCGCCCTCTGTTGGAAATGTTTCTCTTCTGAGAACCAGGATCTTTTAACCCCTTGCCATCAGAGCTATGGAGATGGGAAGCAGAAACTGCCCAGGTGATTCACAGAGTGATGCTATGCGGAGCCACTCCTAATTTCATGTGATCTTCCTACTGGGAACACTGGAGAATGGGCGCCTCACCCTTGCAGGGCATCATGCCCAAGCTGCAGGATCTCATCATCAGCTGTGCCATCAAAGGACTGTTTTACTGCTCTATCAAGTCATCAGCTTCTGGACGGTGTGGTGCAAGATGGGACAAATGATTCTCCTATTCTATAAAAGTGGGTCCCGGCCGGGCGCGGTGGCTCACGCCTGTAATCCCAGCACTTTGGGAGGCTGACGTGGCCGGATCACGAGGTCAGGAGTTCGAGACCATCCTGGTCCACATGGTGAAACCCCGTCTCTACTAAAAACACAAAAATTAGCTGGGCGTGGTGATGTGCACCTGTAGTCCCAGCAACTCAGGAGGCTGAGGTAGGAGAACTGCTTGAACCCGGGAGGCGGAGGTTGCAGTCAGCTGAGATCACGCCATTGCACTCCAGCTTGGGCAACAGAGCAAGACTCCGTCTCAAAACATAACATAACATAACATAACATAACATAACATAACATAACATAACATAACATAACATAACATAACAGTGGGTCCCTTATTCTGAAATGATCCCTGTAGTAGAGGATCAAACATCCTGCAAGCCCTCAAACAGTAGTCCTGGGTGAGACCCTGCTGGAAAGACAAATTCAGACCCAGAATATGTCTCAAATCCAATCAAAATGAATCATGGTCCTTTCCACTGTATAAGGACTGGTTGGCCTGCTTGAAGGATGATTGATCTCTGCTGCTGTCAGGCTGGATATTCAGCAGCAGCAGTTGCTAGATCAGCACTGGTGAATGAAAACCCTTTTATTGGGCCCATGCACAGCCATCATCGGTAATTTTTCCATGCACTCATAGGCCAAAAGAAATACCAAACAGTAGTGTTTATTAAGTAGTTAGATCCAAATAACAAGAATTCATGTCCTAACAAATGAGTAGACATTTGAAAAAATAACACATAAATTGGAAGAAAAATATTTTTATTTCCTTCTTAAAAACTACAAATACTGGGCCAGGCGCAGTGGCTCACGCCTGTAATCCCAGCACTTTGGGAGAACGAGGCAGGCGGATCACGAGGTGAGGAGTTCGAGACCAGCCTGACCAATATGGTGAAACCCCACCTCTAGTAAAAATACAAAAATCAGCCGAGTGTGGTGGGACACGCCTGTAATCCCAACTACTCAGGAGGCTGAGGCAGAAGAATCACTTGAACCTGGCAGGCGGAGGTTGCAGTGAGCCGAGATCGCACCACTGCACTCTGGCCTGGGTGACAGAGCGAGACTCTGCCTCAAAACAAACAAACAAACAAAAACTTCAATTACTTGATAATATGACATGTGTGCCTGTTAGACACAGAACAACTTCTCAAACTTGGAATCAGACTGAACATGCCACCCTCCTTTCCTGTTCCACACTGATTTTTGCACAGTGCTTGATCTGTATCACAACTAGTAAAAATCCAACCCTGCAAAAATATGACATCATCAAAAGAAATGTGGCATGAGCTAATGTCAAAACCGTGAACTACCTCAAGCTAGTAATTTGTGACAGATATTGCTGTGTTTCCTTTAAAATTCTGAAATATCCCATGGTATTCTTTTGTGTCTGTGGTGGTGCTTTGGGGTGCCTTGGTGCAGTTTGGGAACGTGTGTGTGTGTGTGTTTGTGTGTACAGTCCCTTCCTCCCTTCGCAGATCCAGCACCCCGAACTAGGTGTTCTTGTGACTTAACCCTAGTTGTTGGTTTGGTGATAGTCAGTAGGCGAGAGAGGAGGAGCTGGGGGTAAGAGGGACAGCACAGTCTGCAAGCAACCCCTCTAGCTAGTAGAAGAAGGCCACTTCTGCAGGCCCAGAGGGTTAAGAGGAATTTGGGGTTTCAGGGTTTTCAAGTGCACTCAGATGCCCCATCCTAAGGGTCAGGATTCCTGCCCAACCAGAACACTGACCTTAGCATAGCTGAGAGAGAATTCTACCTACCTTGGTGCTCTGCTACCCTTAAAATTAAGTTTTGGGTTGAAGCCTTAGATTTTTCCTCTTACTGTATATGTGTTTCTTTACATGATGCTAAATAAATTTCCTTTTACATTTTGCCCCCAATTATCTTCCACCTTGCATCATCTTTCTCCAATCTATCAATGTTATTTACCAAAAGCCATCTGATGATTGTCCTCATAATTAATTTCTCTGAACTTCTCAAAAGCCTAGTGCACTCACCAGTGCATTCCCTTCAACAGGAATAGCATTCCAACTCACCACCAGTGAAAGTTTTAAGTTGCATAGCTACAGTGCATGCCAAGCGTTATCAGTATTAGTGCTCCATCTAGCACCAGAATCGATTCTCATTGCCAGCCAGCCAGCCAATAATCCAGCTTCAAAACCTCACTGTAAAGTCTACTTTCTGAGACCACTCCTGGCACCAACTGCTTTGGGTAGGAGGGTTCCCAGGAAACAGACTCTCAAATGCAGATGTGCACACCGGAAGTTTATTGCGGAGTGCCCTCCGAACCAACAACTGTGGGGCAGTGAAAGACGTAAGACTGAACAGAGGAAGGAGTTGATCTGCAATGCAGTCCCAGGAAGCCCTCAGCCAGACCCATGGGAGAGCTCTCTGGTGTTGGGATAGACTTCAAGGTTGGCTTGTCTTATAGCAAAAGCGCTAGGCATTTATATCCCTACACTGTATAGATATTAGATGTAAACTGCCCCTGAAGAGGAGGCATGACTCTGGGGGAGGCAACTCTTGGCTCAGGGCAATGCGTGGAGTGGGACTCAGCTGCAATCAGTTTTAGCTGCCAATATTGCCAAGAGCTAGGGGAACATGTGCCTGAAAGCGGGATCTGAAAGCCTAACCACAGCACCTGCCACACCACCACTGGACTATTACACCAATTTGGCTAATGAGGGAAGAGAATTAAGCATTTATGCTGCTGGATTAGGAGAAACTACATTTCACTGACAGTCAGTGAAGGCCAACTCTTCTTTGCAGAAGAGTACCAGCTAATAAACATAGAAGAAATAACAGAATTATTTTTTAATTCATCATTTTGCAACCCCTAATGAAATTATTGACTCAGACAAGGATTATCAAAGAATGCTAAAAGCATTAGGTAAAAGGCATTCACAATGTGCTCAAATTTTTACCCTGTGATTACTTGTTCTTTACAAATGGAAAAAGCATACATTTACAGAGATGAAATCTAGTAGGTACCGTCTTACCCAAGTAATCAGATTTAACATATTAAATAGTGAGACAACCTCACAACCTCTGGATGGGATGCAACATGCAGTACCCAGCGCCATATACAATATTCTTGCTAAAAAATTTTCTAATGAACACCTAATAAACCCTTAAGGTCTAGCTTCCACTTACAGGAAATACAGATACAAGACAGAAAGATGAACAATACCTGGGGGCCCTGCCCTTAAGGAGCTAGATTTATATGACATTCTAGAAAAGGTAAAATATTAGTGACAGAAAACTGATTTGCAGCGGTCAGTAACCAGGGGTAGGAGGGCCTGACAGAACTTTTTATATGAAGTGATGGAAACAGTCTATACTTGACTGTGGTGATAGTTTCAGGACTCTTCAAATGAACATTTAAAGAGGATGAATTTTATTGTATATAAATTAAACCTCAATTAACCTAACCCCTCCTCAGAAAACCTAAATGTTTAATCTGGTTTTTGAGAAAAAAGTGAGACTATTCTGTTGATTTTTTAAACAAATATATTAAAGGACAAAAGTATTTTTAGATTGACATTTTTATTTTCCTTTTAAGCCCAGAGGCAAGATTTTTTTCTTCTCTTGAGTTAGGAAACTAATTCATTTCACATTTCTACCTACCAGTATACCAATAGAGCAGTTTTTGCCTTAACTTGTGTTTATACACTATACAGGATTCCACTGATATAACAGCTACATGAAGAAAATTACTACCTATGCACAAATACAGATGTACACATACAGATTCAATCCCGCATTACTTCCTGACATATTCCTACAATAAATAACGTCTCTTCATAGCTTAAAACCATCAAGGGTGATCAGTGTCTACTGAATAAAATCTAATTCTTACCTTGGTCTTCAAGATGCCCCATCCTAGCCAAAGCCTCCATTTCCAGAATGAATTCCACTACTGTCCTTCATGACACCTGCATTCTAGCTCTAACAGAATTCCTACTGTTACCTACATACAAACTGTGCTTTCCTGTCTCTGCTGATGCTTTTAAGCCAGCCTAGAATGCCATGCCTTTGTCATAGTAGGTTATACTTTCTTGGTCATTTCATTTAACACTTCTATAAGTATCTGCCTTTGTATCTTGCACTTCCAGATAGACAGTAAACTCAAGTCTAGAATTTGTGTCTTATAAATTTTTATAGGGCCAATGGTTAGTGCCAAGTAATAATCCCTGAGCAAGCTGAGCATGGTGGCTCACACCCATAATCCCAGCACTTTGGGAGGTGGAGGTGGGAGGATCACTTAAGCTCAGGAGTTCAAGACCAGCCTGGACAACATGGTGAGACCCTGTGTCTACAAAAAATAAAAAACAAGCCAGGCATGGTGGTGCATGCCTGTAGTCCCAGCTACTGGAGGAGACTGAGGCAGGAAGATCACTTGAGCCCAAGAGGTTGAGGCTGCAGTGAGCTATGTTCACACCATTGCACTCCAGCCTGCCTCAAAATAAGTAAAATAAAATAATCCCTGAACTTTTGCTAAAATGACTACTTAACCTCTTACAACCAAAATCCCATGCATCTGAAGGATGGACTCAAATACCATTTCTAACAAGAAAGAGATAAAGCAGCTGAAAAAACTAAGGGGGTTAAGTTTAGATTCCCCATTTTGGTCACAATCCCCTCTATTGTTTTCACTAACATTGTTCTTCTAGGACTTCAGGACCCAGATACTCTGACTCCTCTTTATCTTCCAGTCTATCAGTTCCCTCTTGGCATCACTTTCCTTTTTACCATATAGTCAAACACTGTCCCCAAAACCTTCCATTTCTTTTTTCTTTAACCCTAAATCAACTCAACTAGGTTTTCTCCATTTCTATTTTGTGTGGAAAAACATACAGTGCCATGCTGGTTGGAATTTTAAATGTGATTTTAATAATAACAACAGGTAACATTTCATGGGCACTTACCAGGTGCGGACATAATGTCCTTTTGATAACACTACAAAGTTACAAGTAAAGAAACAGACAAAGTCTAATTAACTTGCCCAATTTAACACAAGTAGAAAAAGGTAGACGTGAACTAAGGGAGTCTACCTCCAGTGCTCTAACATTTAGCCACTGTGCTATGGTGCCTCCCAAGTGCATGGTTATACCACCATTCACATTCAGAACAGATCATACATTCCTTCATACATTTCCTGTCCAACCCCTTTCCCCAACAGAATGTTCCGATTTTGATTGGCCTCATTCATCCAAAAATATATCTATTCAGTCACTGGATAAATGAAAGAGTTATTCCCACATTCTACACAGTCACTGAGACCAAAAATAAAAGAGTAAGACATGATCCTTGCCTTCTCTTCAAGTCCCCACACCCCTCATTCTCAGCAAAAACAAACAGACAAAAAACAGTAACTAATATTTCATAGCAGTCAACATGCCAAGCACATACATTGATTCATTTAATCTACAAAACAATTCATGTTAGTATTATGATCCCCATTCTACATATTTAAAAAACTGAGGCATAGAAGTTATGTAATATACTCAAAGTTACACAGCTAGCAAATGACAAAACCAGGATGCAAAACCAGTCTAGCTTCTGTGCCCAAGCTCTTAACCACTTTGTTAGACTGTCATCAAAGTCACTGAGTCCATTAGGTTTGAAACTCTCAACTTCTCAACTGTACACCTAAAGCAAAGAGTAATTAATTCATTTGACATTGACTGATAACTCACTCATCATGTTTTTGTTTCTTGAACACAAGCCTGTTCCCATTTCAAGGCCTTTATAAATTCCCAGAACATTCTTCCTCTACATCTGCCTCCTCATCATGGCAATTCAATTTAAATGCCAACTCTCAAAGAGACATTTCCTGACCATGTTACCTAAAATAGCCCCACTACAAATTGCCCTATCACATGAAATAGGTTTTATTGCCTTCACAGTTACTTATTACTAAGTGAAATTATGAGTTGTCTATTTCTCCCATTGGAGTGGATTTTCCAAGACGGCAGAGACTTTGTCTATCTTGCTCACCGCTACATCTTCAGCATCTGCAATACTGCCTGGCACAGAGCAGGCACTTGATGTTTACAGAATTCATGCCAAAAAATGTGCTAGACATTGGGATTATCAAAACGAATAGGATATGATGCCTATCCTCAATAAACTCCCAGTCTTTATATTTACAAGTACTCACCTCCACCCCTTCTATATTAACTGCTCCTTTTTTCAATGGCTAACCTCTCCACCTGTCACCTTAACTCTATCCCTGAGATCCCTTTGACCTCTTCCTGTCCCTGAGATCCCTTTGACCTTTTCCTATCAATTATCCCCTCTCTCACTTCTTCACTCTGTCTCTCCATTTAGCCTCCCATATTTGCATATCCCACCCAACCTCCTATACTTGAATATCCTTCCCTCAACTTTGAAATCCCCTTGAGTTACCAAAAACACATTCCATTCACTCCTCACCACATCCCTCTATTCTGACCACTTCCTCAAAAGTTATCAATGACCTGAAAACGGTTCTCACTTTCTTCAACATTTACCACTTCTGAGAATTTTCAATCCACTCTCCTAGAGCCACAGAGGCTACTGTTTCATGATTTTCTTCTTAATTTTGATTCCGTTTCCTTCACTGTCTCCTTTCTCTCACACCTTTAAACCTGATGCTCACTAGAGCTTCATTCTCTATTATTGCTCCATTCAGTCTCTCTAAAAGATATCATCTTCTCCTTTAACTTGTGTCCCTATACAAATAATTCTATCATTCATTCAGAGCCGAAACCCCAAGTCTACTTTCCTCAACATCTTTAATAAGAAATGTGATTTAATTCTTAATCAAATCATCAATAGAGTAGTTGCAGGCTACTTTTTGTAATAAAATAATGTGAACTTAAATAAACAATAATGTTGCGTTGAACAAGCATTAGCAGGCAATATCATAACATAATGCTGATTTCCATGAGTAGTTCTTGAAATACTTGAACTAATTCTTCATTACTTTTCATTGACGGCTTGTACAAAAATGGACCAAGGGCTAAAAAATCATTCACAAATGTTATATGATTAATCTATGTTAATTTTGTCTAAAACCGTTAATATAGTTCTAGATACACAGAAATCATATTACACTAGTAGTAGGAAGTCAAAACAGGAATATACAAGTCAAAAATTATTGCATAAGTCTGGAAACCATACACAAAATAAATTTAAATTCTTTGAGAGGAGTTTGTAAAGATGTTCCTGCGGTGCCATAATTTAGAGATTTACAGATCAAAATTATACCTAATTATCAGGGCAAACTGTCTCACGTAGTTTTGTGCTATTTTCAAAAGCATTAGCAAGAAACAGACTTGTGCCATTCTGGCCTTCAGTTCAGATAGCAAAAAATAGTTACACACGTTTACATCCATATGGTAAAACTACTGCTGTGCCCAATCCTGTAAACAATCACAGACATGAGAAAACTGGTTAACCTAGAAAAAGTGTGAACAAAGCTCCAGCTTTACAACTGTCTCCAACAGATAAGCCATGATACCTAGTGATAAGCTACAAATACCTGACTTACAGCCTCGTCCCTTTCATAATGGGAGAAAAAGACACCTAACAATTGCCTAATAAATTGCACATTCAATAAATAACAGTAAACTCTTTAACTCATTTTGACAGTTTCCTACTATGTTTTCCCCATGTACTGCAAGAAGCTGTGGGAAAAAAAAGATGAAGCCAACTCCCAATTACCACTGTCAAAGCTGGTGAAACAAGTCAGTCACCAACCTTCAGGGTATGCGGCATGTAAGGGCATGGAAAAGAAAACAATAGGAGAGCCCTCAGCAAAAAAAAGCACCCACATTTTAAGAAAAAGAAAATGAAACCAACTGAACATCTACATCAAGGAAGCTGAAGGTGTAGCCAACCCAAGTAAAAGAGACAAATCTACGCGCTATTCAGATTTTCTAGCTAGTGGCAGTTGAACGCTGTACCAGCTGTCATATTCTGAAGTTCTGCAGTTTTCCCCTTTTCCCTACAAAACCCTCTCTACTCTAAAGCCTGTAAGTAACAGAGGAAATCGAACAGAGGATGAAGAGAAATGGCCGATGGGACATCAGATCACAAGAGTAACTGCAACCTCATTTCTAGAAGACCAAAAGGCCCGGTTATCAAAGTACAGCTCTAAAAATCTCTATCAGACACCTTTCGCATCCACACAGATCTCCATCTGCGTCCCTTATTCATAAATCTTTTTAAAGCAAACCTCACGCCTATCCCTCGGGCCTGCTTATCCAAAACTCAACCAATCTATACCATGACTCCTCTTGGTGAAAGGCAGATTGAAGGGAGGTGGAAAGGGCTGGAAGGAATGTCATGGGAGAGGCGGCACGTGCAAATAACATTGCGGCAGAGACACTGAAAACGCCACTTCCCTTGCCACTGTTGCAATTCTCTTCGTGTATCATCCTCTTACCCTCTCTACCCATGCCACCTCCTACCTCAACGATACACACACGTGTCACAGCCGACCAGCACCATCGCCTTTTCCAGCATCACAGGTTCCCCTACCACCCCTCACTATCCCCCCACATAGGCAGGCAGACACACACACACACACACACACACACACACACACACACACACACGAGAAACTGCAGCCACCGCACCCTCCTATCTCGATAAGTGCTCCTGCCAACAGACATCCAGAGCGGACTGAAAGCTCAATAAATGCGCAGGTACACACACGCAAGCACACACACACGCGGGTGCACGCGCGGCATGGGGCGCAAGGAAGGGCGGCATGGGGCGCAAGGAAGGGCACCCTGGGGACGCACCTGGAGGCTGGGTGTCCAGCGCTGCCGCCCCCCTGGTCCCTGTCATTGAGCGCAGCGGTATAAATCCTCCGGTAGCGGTCGGCCAGGGCCCGGCCTGACAGCAGCAGCTGGTAGTGACCCCGGGAGTCCGCGGCGGGTAGCCCCAGCCCCAGCCCCGCAGCAGCCACGGAGCCGTCGGGAACCGGCATGAACAGCGCCCCCGGCGCCGGGGAGGAAGAGAAGGTGGCGGCTGGGTAGAATCCGTCCCCGCCGAGCCCCGAGGAGGCGGCGGCGGGGGAGGCAGTCGCTGCGCACATCATCATCCTCGCCGCCGCCGCCGCCGCCGCCGCCTCGTCCCCGCGGGCCGGGCGGGCAGACACGCGCGCGCACACACAGCCCTTTTCCAACGACGACGGCTCCGGCGGCGGCCTCTGGCTCCCGCAGCAGGGAGACTACAAAGACAGCGACCTCCTTCTCCTCCTCCTTCTTCTCCTCCTCCCCCCCGCGCCGCCCTCGCCGCTACTGGGGCCGCTCATCTAACCCCGCCACCCCGGGAATGTGAGGAGGAGGCGGTGCCGCCACTGCCGCCGCCACCACCGCTACCACCGCCACCACCGCCGGGGCTACCCGCAATGGGAAGCTGCCGGCCTCACAGAGCATGCGCCACTCCTCGCACATGCTCAGTAACTGCCGCCCCTTTTCCTCCCCACCCCCTCTCCGCCACCACTCCCTCCGCCTCGGGGCTTTGGGTTTGGGGCTGTTGGGTTGTGCGGAATCTGAAGTAGTCCACTTCTCCGGGTTTTACTGGCAGCTTGAAGAAGAGTAAGGAAAGTGCTGGGGAGGCTGTCAGCTACTGACGTTCGACTTCAGGTTCCCTCCAGGTGGAAGAACGAGGACCAGAAAGCAAGGGGGAACGTGCCCATCGCCAGAGGAGGAGTGGCACGCTCTTCTGCTACCTCTTCTCCAAGGCTCTGCTGCCAACAGGAAGATTTACTGTGAATTGTGCTGGTTAATTCAGAGTTTAAGGCAGAGAAAACCATCCCAATTAGAAGTGCCTTTAGCGATCTTATTTTATATGGTTTTTGTCATTAGGATTTACGCTTGTTTAACACAGCTTTTACTTACAAAGACAGGTAGTAATCTAGCACATTCTTTTTTGTGTGTGAAAGTATTTTGTGTGTGAAAGTATAACAGATAGGCTAGTATTCACAAGCCAGAGTCATTCCCAAATTCTTGTTCTCAACGGAGCAATAATATTTTTTAAATTACTCTTTTTTATTGACTCCTCACTCACCTAAGAGTGCACTTTTATCTCTTGGCAGTGGTCATTTAATGGTTTATTTTTTTCTGCCCAAACTTACATTTTTAAAGATAATTCTTGAATGCGATCTGAAACAATAATTGTGACGGAGACTGTATAGCGTCTGAAAATGTCAGATCCATCACATATCTTGTTGTTGTCTATAAAAAAGTAACATTTGCTCAGTCCTTTGTTCCAAGCTAACCTACGAACCCCATCTAAGTATATGCTCTAGAAATATACGTGCCAATGCACTTTGATTCCTACTACGTTTTATCCTTTGACTCTCAATTTGAAGAGTTTCCTAATTTACAGTCCTGACAAAATAATTTATAAGTTCTGTCATCCCAGTACTGTATCTTTCATCTATGTACTAGTTCTTATATCTGTGCCTCTTCTTCGGATGGCCTTCTCTTAAAAAAAAATAAAATAAATGTTAAAAAATCCTCCTTAGTGTTTGAGAAGTGCAAACAACAAGGAATAGGAAAGTAAATTAATTCTAGTTTTAGGGTGGAAGGTTGCTGAAAGCAATGCATTTTTTTCTGAAGCTTTAAATAATGGATGGATTTCATTTAGTTTTTTTAAAGATAATTAGCAGTGGGATAAACATAGGAACAAAGGACAAGACATGTGGAATCATAGTATTTTAGTACTGTAATTAGCCCTGTTAAGTTTTTGTATTTGTCTTGTTTCCTTACCTAAGTTCCTTCAGAGCTTGCTGCTTTTGTGTCTCCTTCAGCCACTTCAGGACTTTGCATGTAGTAGGTATCCAGTAAGTATTTATTAGACTAAATTTCTATCCTAATGCTTCAGCACAGTTAAAGACCTCAGTGTTGACCAGGCAGCCCCTAACCCTGGAGTGAGAACCAAGACAATGGTGTAGAGGCAGCTAAATTCTAAGAATTCTAAGGCCTGACAGGTAAGCAATGAGAGGGCCCATTACTATTGCAAGACCTAGCAGGGTAGCTAAAAGGCTCTGAAATCAGACAGCCCTGGAATTGGATCCTGACTCTGCTACTTAATACTTGTCTGGCTTTGGGCAAATTATCTCCTCTGAATAATGCTCAAAAGAATACCCACTACATGAGATTGAGGGAGGACTTAAAGGATCTAGGATGTCCAACTTGGCACATGAATTTTCACAAATGGTAGCACATACTAAACAAAACACTAGGTTTTCCGTAGGGTAGCAATGGTGTCTGTTCAACCATCACAGGCTCCTAGCACAGGGTCTAGCCCTGAACAGGAGGGAAATAGATGTTGGCTGAATGAATGAATGTTGCTTGCACAGAAAACATTTACAGCGCAGGCTCAGGTGGTGGAATGTGCAGTCACTGCCCATTTAGAGTTTCTAGTGGACATTGACCCGCGTGGCTGCCCTGGTCTCCGGGCTCTTCCCACCATTCATTAATTTCGCTTCAATCTTTACTGCTGTTCAGTCCCAGACAGGCCCCTACGGAGCCTGATGGGTACACTCAAAACCCGGAAACTGGATAACTTGCTAAGAAGCCCGATGTCATTGAGCTGCGCAACTAGGCGTGCGCAGAGTCGCACACATGCTCACTTAGGTATCCGAGAGTGGCATTTCTGTTGCGGTTGGCAGCGTTTCCTTCCACGGCAGCGGCAGCGGTCGCTCTCCTCAAAATTGATAGCCAGTGCAGCGTTTTTTCTCCTCCTCCTCCTCTTCCTGCCTCCGCACGGCGCGCTCCCCGGTCCCTGCAACTGCCACAGCTACCGCCTTGGCAGCTGGGCAACTTGGAAGGCTCCCCTGGGATGGCGGGGGAGTGGGGCGCATGCCAGAAAGAAAAAGGCATTTGGAGTCACCCTTACTTCTACTGTCAAGGGGACGTGAAGGAGAGTGTGGTCACAAGTCGCGAGGGTCGCCTGAACCGTCGCTGCAGATCGGAGACGTGGGTTTCTGGCAGTATGCAAAGCAAGCGTCCCCTCCCGCCGCTCCTGCGAGCTCTACTACCGAATGCCTTACGCAGCCCTTGTGTTTGGGGAAAGAGGGGGACCTATACAGAATGAAAAAACACAGAGGGCTTTGCTTTTCTTTCCCCACCCCACCGAGCTCGGCCCCCGTGCTTTCTGCGCTGCCATCTTAGTTCCTCCAGCGGCCGGGCTGGGCGTGTGTGCATTTGTGTGTACAGGGAGGGCTGCAGCCGGGGGGCGTGGGGGCCGCCTGGGCGGCTTGGGTGTCGGAATGGGCTAGACAGCAGTTCACCCACGACACATTCGCCCTCAAAGAATAGCATTGAACTACGGCAAATCCTGCCTGTGCCCATTTTATTACGGGCGTAGTATGTTTTATTCTTTGTGGTTGGTATGCTCATTTCGCAAAAGAGATCTCTCTGTCCTGTGCCCATGTAATAAGACTATGGCTTCATCTTTCCCCTTGTGATCACAGATTTAGTCGTTCTTTTCCACTTAACATTGCAAACCTGGACCACAGTTTTTTGAACTCTTATCACATTTACATTTTTCCTACTCTCATCTTTAACGATTTTGTTTTTAAAGGAAGCTACCCGTGCTGATGTAGTAAATAACAGGGCAGGAACCATAACGTGTATATAAGAGGACAGATTAGTGTTGTTTCATTTAAAGGGTTAATATTGTACTAAAGCTACAAGACTACAAACACAGGAAGTATGTATATTATTAGGTACATCGAGACTGCTGAAAATGCTGTGGTAAAGTCTGCGTTTGTTTCCTGGATTTGTACAACAATGTATTGGGGAATTTAAAAACAAAATTGGTAGCTGAGAACAATTTGGGAAAAAAAAAAGAAAAAGCTTAGGCTTGAAGAGTGAAGACATGCTTTACTCTTCAGTGACCTTCTCTTTTTAAGGGTAATAAGATAGTGCATTCTTGACAAATATATTGCACTTTAAAATAAAGTATATTTCATAGAATATATTTAGTACTCCAAGCTGAAGGGAAAAATTCAACATGGCTATCGAAATTATTTTAAACATAAATTACATATTGCATCCCCTGGCTATCTTAACCTCATGCTTTAAACAACTATATTTTTAGGGCCTTGGGATATTCAGTAACTTGTAAGCATGATGAGTTAATGTTTTTCTTTTTTATTCATGGTAGTTTTAAAAGATGTAAATTATATGTCCAAGTTTTCCCACATCCAAAAATTTAGGTTCCAGGGATCCTAAGTTATATATTGACATATATTGACATTTTCATCCGTGAAAAATTATCCTAAAATATATTAGTATATGTTTTTTAAGTATGTGAATTCAATACTATATATCTGAATGCAAATCACATTCTTTCAAAATCTCATTGTTGTGATGCATTTAGCCTAGAGGATGTTTTCACAACTGATGTAGAAAGTTATATAAAGTATAATTGTCCTAAAAACAGAAAGTTTAAAACTATAGCATTTCAACCTTGAAAACTTTAGTATAGTTTATAAGTTATTAGATTAATCTTTTTTAAATTTTGTTATTACTTTAAAATTTTTTTGTGGGTACATAGAAGGTGTATATATTTATAGGATGCATGAGATATTTTGATACAGGCATGCAATGTGAAATAAGCACATGATGGAGAATAAGGTATCCATCCCCTCAAGCATTTATCTTTTGAGTTACAAACAATCCAGTTACATTCTTTCAGTTATTTTAAAATACACAATTAAGTTATTATTGACTATAGTCACCCTATTATGCTATCAAATAGTAGGTCTTATTCATTCTTTCTGATTTTTTTTTTTTGTACCCATTAACCATCCCCATCTCCCCTCCCCAAACTCCTCATGACTCTTCCCAGCTTCTGGTAACCATCCTACTCTCTATGTCCATAAGTTCAATTGTTTTGATTTTTAGATCCCACAAGCGAGTGAGAACATGTGATGTTTGTCTTTCTGTGTCTGGCTTATTTCACTTAACATAATGATCTGTAGTTCAGTCCATGCTATTGTAAATGACTGGATCTCATTCTTTTTATGGTTGAATAGTACTCCATTGTGTATGTGTGTACCACGTTTTCTTTATCCCTTTATAGGGTGATGGACACTTACATCAATAAGTTTGCTTCCAAATCTTGGCCATTGTAAACAGTGCTGCAACAAACAGGAGCGCAGACATCTCTTCTATATACTGATTTTCTTTCCTTTGGGTATATACCCAGCAGTGGGATTGCTGGGTCATATGGTAGCTCAATTTTAAGTTTTTTGAGGAACCTCCAAACTGTTCTTAATAGTGGTTGTACTTATTTACATTCCCACCAACAGTGTTCAAGTGTTCCCTTTTCTCCACATCCTCGCCAACATTTGTTATTGCCTGTCTTTTGGATAGAAACCATTTTCTTTGTTGTTGTTTGTTTGTTTTTTGAGACAGTCTCACTCTGTCACCCAGGCTGGACTGCAGTGGCATGATCTCAGCTCACTGCAACCTCCGCCTCCCGGGTTCAAGCGATTCTTGTGCCTCAGCCTGCCAAGTAGCTGGGATTACAGGCACGCACTGCCGCACCTGGCTAATTTTTGTATTTTTAGTAGAGACGGGGTTTCACCATGTTGGCCAGGCTGGTCTCAAACTTCTGACCTCAGGTGATCCGCCCCCTCTTGGCCTCCCAAAGTGCTAGGATTAGAGGCGTGAGCCACCGCGCCTGGCCATAAGCCATTTTTAACTGGCGTGATATTAGATTGATCTTTATTACTAAAATTAAATAGTAAGAGGATAATTGAAATTCTCATGTAGAATAGCAACTATGTCATATTAATGTTTCTTTTAAATATATTTAATAGGGTTATTGCCAAATCCAGATAACCTGATATAACTAAATGGCTCTAAAATGACTATATTAGTCATGGTCTTTTTTTTCAAAGACTTTTACCTCTTTCATGCTACATCTTCTCATCAGTAAAGTGAATAATAATAGCACCTACTTCATTAGATTATTTGAGGGTTAAATTAAATAATCTGTATGACTTACTTGCTTAACATACTACATAGCAGGCCATAGCTATTATTGTCAATATTATGTTAATATATTAATGATCCCTTATTTGAGGGATGTCCTAATCTTGTGCTAGAAGTAACAAAACAGTTATACAATTTGAGTTATATAGATTAGGATTTGAAAGTTGGTTTTCTTGTTGTTTTCTTAACAAAGAGTCCTGTCCACAAATAAAGATTTACTGTGTCTTGACATGACAGGAAGAATAGAATCCAAAGACAATAGTTGTTTCCCTAAAATACCCATTCTTGTATAATTTGTTAACTCACAAAACACATTGCCTACCTTCATAAATTCAATAAGTGTTTTGAATTTTTACTGATGGATACATTTCGACATGTAACAGCCAAAACAGACTATAGTTTCTTCTCAAAAGGCTAGTAGCTATGGTATCTCTCCAGATTCAAAAACTATAAATCATCTATAATTTACATTTTCTGTAGGTTAATCTGAATTTAACATCAAAATCTTGACCTTGCCTAGTTTGGCTTCCTATTTTGATGAATATTTCTACATTTATATTTAGAAAGTAAAAAGGAGCCAATTTACCAGTTCTTCATAAAAAATTTTTCTTAAGAATATTTTGCCTCTTTTTTGATATCATATCAGGTTTGCCTTCAAACTAGACCGGAAGCTATTTTAAAAGTTTTTAGAACATAAAAGTCATAAAAAATATTTCACAGTCTTCCTAAATTAACTTGTGGTGACAGAATTTTCTTGGATAGACAAAATAATCTTACCTATTTGATGCCAAATTGTTGTGAACTGAATTAATTACTAATTTTTGTGGTGCAGCAAAGACAACACTGCTTGCAGAGAAAAACTGTGGCATCCCTGCAGGTACTTCTAAAGTCTACCTCAGTGTTGGTGGGGTGGTGTGCCAGGAATCTGCTTATTTGCTCTTGAGTCCATTCCTGTCCATTCTCCTGCTCTGCTCTGTACAGCAGGGGAAGGATCCCTGCAAATTCCATTTGTCAGGCTTCCCTTGCCAGCTAGTTTCAAATTAGCTTCAGCCTGGGGGCAAAATGGGTGACTGGCAAGTAGGCAGCAGGAGAATCAATTTCTCTCTCTCTCTCTCCCGGCACCCCACCCCCGCCAACTTTAGGCAACATCTCCTCTGTGGTTCCAGCTCCTGCTGAACAGCTTCTCCTTCCATGGTCCAGCTGCAATTAGGTAACCTCTCGTAAAGCCAGTTCTCACTGAGCAGCCCCAGCTTGTGGACCCTGGTAGCAGCGTTTTCTCCTTGGTGTCTCCAGCCCTAGGGATTGTAGATATCTCTGTCCCTTGTTTGGCTTTTCTATTCCTAGAGTAGCATTGCAATTAGTTCCCCATATTCAATTCTCTCTCTTAATGACCTGGCATGCATTTATCTGTTTTCCTGATTGGACCCTGAATGGTACAGATGGTCTTCCATCCAAATAATAAACCTGATTTGGTTTCTCAGCCAAAGGATGGCATTTTATCATCTTTCATCTGGTCTTGAAAGCTTGCGGATCTGACATCAAGCAGCAAAACAGAAATCTGCTTTGAAAATATTAGTTGGCTCACTCACACCCATTCTAAATCCCCTTCTTCCTTGCCTGCCTCCATTCTGGATGCCGGAAAAAGTGAAATATTTTCTCTGTGAGTCTGTCCTGCACCTAGAGTTGGCATCGTGACACAATTCAGGACAGCACAGTGAGGGAAAATCTGCTAGTACTACTTCTCTCTCTCTCCCTTTCTTTCTACCTAAAAGATGGACAGAATGGCTGATGTTCATAGCCATGAGACAAGAGGCATGAGATAAGGCCAAGAGCATCATAAATATTGACCCTGACATCATAGAACCATTGAACAAAGTTTCAAACTTATTTTTATACAAGGTAAAAATCAAATTCCTAATTGTCTCAGCTACTGTTGATGAAGTATTCTGTTGCTTGCAGCCAAAGCATTCTACCTGATATACCAACTCTAGCATCTTCTCAGGACACATTCCCTATCTAGAATCTATCAGTAATCTGTCCGAATGAAATATGTATTTATGGAAAATACTTAAAAGCATAAAAACCCATTCATTCCCCTGGGTCCTAAATTTTCTTCCTTTAATCAAGTCAAAACATCAGAAAGTTCACTGAACTGTATTTTATATGATGCCTTTGGATTTTATTAAAGATTACTATAGTGTGCCTCCCAGATACCCCTTCAGGTATGAGGCTCTTATTCCCCAGCTGTTGAGAGTGTTGACTGCTGGCTGCTCAAAGCTAAACCCCTGCCCATAAGTTGCTCTTGGCCTTGGGGAACTGCCTTATGCCAGGTTACAACCCCTCTCCAGAGGGTGCCTGCATCAAATAACTGGTCAAAGTGATATACAAAGACAAGGCACTCTTACCTTAATTCAGAATGATTTTGAAGAGCCATTCCAGCTCTTAGAACTCTGTGCAATTAGCTAAGGCCTCTGTTGCAGTTACATTACAGTTCCATTTTTCTCTCTCAACCAATCCTGCTTTTCTCACTCATTCACTAGTAGTATTGTCAGAACTCCACAATAAACTTCTTGTATGCCAGTCTACATCTGTTTCCCAATCTCTTTCCCAGGGAGCCCAACTTAATTCAGTTGTAAGGGGAGTGGTCTGAAGAACCAGAGTCTGAAATGGAATTTTGGAGCTGGATTATCCACTGGTTAGGTGGCAGTGAGGGCCCCCTGTAATGGACAGTTTCTAAGGTGACCTCGTCATGATCTCTATATCCTAATATCTCTGTTTTTGTATAAACTTTTCCTCTTGTGTGTGGGTAGGACCTGCAAATTCCTCCTAAACAATAGAATATGGCAAAAGTGACAGGATGTACTTGATTATATTTATGTAATTGAGTTGCATACTACTGTAACTATGTTGCTGGGACCATCTCTCCCTTAGTGGCTTTGAAGAAGCAAGTTGGCATTTTGTAAGCCATCACACAGAGAGGTTCATATGATAAAGGGGTTAATGGTAGCTTCTGACCAACAGCCAAAGAGGAACTGAGTCCTCAGCCTGGCAGCCTGCAAGGAATTGAATTCTGACAAATACCATATGAGTTTGGATGTGGTTCCTTTCCAGTTGAGCCTCAGATGAACTGCATCCCCAGCTGACATCTTGATTAGAGCCTTGCAGAGGACAGTGATAAGTCATGCCCAGACTCCTGATACACAGCAACTAGAAGACAGTGTCATTTTAAGTTTGTGGTAATATTGTTATGCAGCAATAGAAAACTAATAGGCTATCACTGATGATGGATGGATAGAATATGGAGCATTGATAGCCCTGACATGTGGTAAGTGTAGCTGTGCAATTGCTGAAACTTTCACTGGAGATGGCTAGGCTGGGAGACCTGTGGATGTGAATGCGCCTGCAGGTGCAGTAGCTCAAGTTTTGAGAGGTTCAAGGAAGGTGTTAGTTATAAAGTTAGTGGAATTAGATTCCCCTTGTTGAGTGCATAGATGTCTGAGGCATGCCAGATACCTCCTACAAGTTAAAGGGTAAATTATCTCATCTTGTTCTTCCTATCTTTTTTCTTTATTTTCTGAAGGCACAATATTTACTTGAAAATATTGCTTTGAGGCATTTCTTGAATGACACAGATGACTGACAGCTTTAAGTGAAGCCCAGAACAGAAAAAAAATTCTGCATCATTTCTAGGCTGTGTGAAAAGCACTTCTGCTCCTTGGGCCATACGACGTTACAGAACCTATGAAATTACAGATGTCAGTGACAGGAAAAGATGCTTTGGAATTAATGGGAAGTTTCAGTGGGAAAATCACAAAGAAGAGCTTAAGGACTCTGGAGCAAAACCATGTGATCTTTAGCAAAAACATTATGCACTGTTTGAAAAATGGCTCTTGGCATACTATTTGAGCTCTGAGAGAGACAGAATATCTCCCCTTGAGATGTCAGGTGATCACAAGATATGTCAAGTGGCTAGGACCACCCACTGGGAGCTGCGTTTTGTCAGACCACCAACTCATAAGGTCCAGTGGGCCCAATGTCTACCTATGATAAAGTGGAGGTGATATACCCAGAACTGGGTATGGGCTGGCCATAGCACAAGTAAGCTGCATGAGGATGAGGCCAGACGCCTATATTGTCCCCCACTGTTGCACTGGTGCCTGTCTCTAAGCTCAAATATATGGCTGTTTGGGTAGGGGAGGGAAAAAGTTGAGCTTGTTTCATGCGTTGGCTGGCTTGGGAAGTGGAAGCAGGCTGAAAATGGACAGCTGTTGCACTGTGATCCTGACAGTGCAGGATCACTAGATAGTGATCAGGCAAAATCCTCTCAATGGTTCAGACTTTATGCAGTATACATTCTCATTCATTTTACACATAAGAGAAGTAGTCTGAAGTAAGAATATGTAATACTCGTGGTAGTGGCAGATGTCTTGGCTCTTTGGTTGAGGGACTGAAAGTTAGAAGATTGGGAAGAAGAAGGTCTGTAAAAGAGGTAGGTGAGTGGACTTGTTGGAGTGAGCACAAAGCATGAATATCTTTGAATCAGTCTCATGATGATGCCTCTCAGATCGCATCTCACCTGGAAGAGTCAGTGAACAATCACATAGACAGGACGATTCCACCAGTTGAAGTTACTCTCTGTTTTTGTCCACCTGATGGTGGCACAAAAGGCACATGGATGGAGTAGCTCTGGTGCAGAGATGGAGGCTCTATAGGGTGGCAAGGACGGAGGTTATGCATGGAACTTGCAGCAAGGACTGTCACTGAGCAATGCTGATCTAGCTACTGCTACTGCCAAATGCACAAACTGCCAGCAAAAGAGACTAACATTAAGCCCTTAAGACAGCATGATCCCTCAAGGAGACCAGCCAGGCACTGGCTGGATAGTTGATTACGTTCCACCTTGGAAGGGTCAGTGATTTAACTTGACTGAGATTAGTACCTATTCTGATATAGGTTTGCCTTCTTTGGCCACAGGACTTTCATTGGCCAGCACCATTATCTGAAGACTCACATAGATATGGGATCCTGAAAAGCATTGTCTCAGACCAAGAAGCCCACTTACCTTATGGTATCTGATGTGTGACAGTAGATACATGTCTGTGGTGGGCTGAATAATGCCCCCCGTCCCAAGATGTCCATGTTATAATCCTCAGAACGTGTAAATATGTACCTTTACGTGGCAAAAGGGTCTCTGCAGATGTGATTAAGTTAAGCATCATCTTCGGATGGAGAGATTATCCTGGCTTATCCAGGTGGGCCCATATAATCACAAGAGTTCTGATAAGAGGGAGGCAGGCGGGTGAGAGTGAGAGAAAGTGATGTGACTACAGAAGCGGAGTCAGAGAAGAAGATGCCGTGATGGAGTGGAGGTGCAAGAGAAAGAGAAAGATCTGAAGGTGCTACGCTGCTGGCTTTAAAGGTGGAGGAAGGGCCAGGAGCCAAGAAATGCAGGTGGCCTCTAGAAGCTGGAAGAGATCAGGAAAAAAATTCTCCCCTAGAACCCGTGAAGGAAATGTAGCCTTATTTACATCTTGATTTTAGGACTTCTGACCACCAGAAATACAAGATAGTTTG
Organism: Homo sapiens; assembly: GCF_000001405.40. Lineage (NCBI taxonomy): Eukaryota > Metazoa > Chordata > Mammalia > Primates > Hominidae > Homo > Homo sapiens. Next base: position 77,338,267 of record NC_000013.11, read on the forward strand.
TTTTAATCCAGTAAATGTGTCGCAGTGGCAATAGGAGACTGATAAAATGTCCATTGGATCCACTTATCCTATTACCTAAAATGCCACCCAGAACCTGCTGTTGATGGAATAGTGCTGTGGTCTTTTGAAGGTCTCATTGAGGCACAGCTACACATAGTAGACTTTAAGTGAACACCTATTCTGTGATGCTGTGTTTCTGATAGAATATATGAGTTCAGGAGTCCAGAGTGGAAGTGGTAGTAGCTCTACTTTCAGTGACCTCTTAGAGAATTTGTGGTTTCTGTTCTGCTCAGGCTCCCGGTTCCAAAAGGTGTAACACTTCCACCAGAGGACCTAGTAAGAACCCCATTGGACTTTAAGTTATGGTTGCTTTCAGTCGCTTCAGGCCCTTCAGTCCAAGAGACCAGCAGATAAAGAAAGGAGTCCTACACTGGCAGGTATAAGTGACCTCTATTAGCAGGAGTAGATAGGGCTGCCATTACATATGGCCACAGAGAAGAATATGTCTAGCACTTAGGTGATCCATGACTGTGTCTCTTGATACTCCTTACTTAATTTTGACATTAAATGAACAAGTACAGTCACCATGGTCTGAGAAGGGCATGGTGACCAGCGGCTCAGATTTCTGAGATGAGAGTGTGGGTAATTCTGTTCATAGGCTCTCTAGACTAGCAGGGGTTCTAGCTGAAGGAGAAATCAATCTAGGACGCATGTGGAAGAAAGGCATTATGAGTTTCAGTTGTAGCACTGAAACCAGCTACAGCAACAAGGGCTCCAGTTCATACCATGTGTCTTCCTCTTTTAGGTTTCAACAGGAAAAAACAAACAACTACCCACAGTCCTGGACATAGGATGAACTCTCTAGAGAAGCAAGTGGGTCTGAGCAATGCTGGGGATGGACTGTAATGGATTTCGCAGTGTATTGCCCGGATTGCTCTCTTGGGAGCGAGTCCCTTATTTCCCAGCTGTCAGAAGTGTTGGCTGCCGACAGCTCACAGCTGAGCCCTTTGCTGAGACTTGTCCTCAGCTGACGACTGCTTCCTGGCTTATGGTCATGTCACCTCCCTGAGGTGCAGTTTGCTTCAAGTGACTTAACATTGCAGTGGTACAAAGACCTAGTCCTGTCCCCCTAATGTGGAGACAACTCCAAGGGCCAGGCCAATTCCAGAACTCCCTGTGAGTTTGGCTGATACCTCTGTTTTTAATTGATCCTCAGTTCACTTCTCCCTCTATCTAATTCTGCTTCTCTGACATCTTTACAGGTTGTGTTCCTGAGTATACTTGCTAGTAACCTTCCTGCATACAAGTTTTTGTTTCAGAGCCAGTTTCCTGGGGGAACTGAAACCTAGACAATTATAATGAGTAAAGGACATAATCTGTCATTTCACCTGCTTAAAATAATGATGACATTATTTATGACATCGTGTCATGACCCAAATTTCTCACCTTAGGATTTTGTTTTAGAATTAAGTACTCACGAAGACACTACTTTCCTGAAAACCTGTTCTCTCCCTTTATTAATGAAAAACTAGACAATTGATCATTATTCCCTTTATATTTGGCTACTGAGAGAATAAACTTGATATTTTGTTACAGTCCTTCCCCAAATTCTGAAAAAGTTGTTAAAACATCTGTAGCAAATGGAAGCAGATATCACTTTTATTACAATAACGGTTAAGTGGGAGGATAGAGCTTAATGTAAAGCTAAGAAAGCTCTCTCCTCTAAACCTCAAATGCTAGCAATTTTATCCATCCACTCACTTTAGTACAGGCAGGGCAGTTCTCCCTATGCAACAGGGAGGAAATTGCCTGCTCCTCGAAGGCTCCTACCTCCTCGTTGGATGAAAAGAGGAAGGGGATATAGGCTATTGATGCCTGATTTCTCCTTCCTAACTCAACAATAAAATAAGTTGTTACATTTCGCTACCAATATTCTATCATTGTTGTTCTCCCAATGATAGAATGTAGCTGGGCACCATGAACAAAGGATACCAATTAGGCAGTTACTGCTGTAGTTCAACATGACCCCATTGAGGGCCTCAAAGAAAACAGTTGGTATAGAGAAAAGAGGGCCCTTTGGGAAGTTTCATGCACAGGAAAAAAGTGACTGATCTAACGTGGGTGGGGAAAATGGAGACTCCTAGTAGGACCCCAGATTCTGGATGGATAATGGTTTCATCGAGATGAGGAGTCCAGGAAAAGGAGGAGATTTTGGGATGGGAGATGAAGAGTGCTCTTTATCTTCGCTAACTTGTTTCCTGGTCTGATAAGAATTTGAGGAAATATATTTAGAGAACATGATCACTCCTCCACTTATACACATTATACACATACCTCTGCCACTGATTTTGGGCTCAATCCAACCTATTCTCCACACTATTGTGATCTTTTAAAGCTGTACCATATGCAATGAAATGTAATTTGGCAATAAAAAAGAATGAAATACTGATGCACGTTGCAACATGAATAAACCTTGAAAATATGTTGCTGAGGTTGAGGCCAATCTCTCCCAGTCACTGCAGACTCTGTTGTAGTAGTCTCTATACCTATTGAAATCATGCTGAATACAGTCTTTCTTACCAAGGGAAAAAAAGAATATAATGCTAAGTGAAAGAAGCCAGACACAAGAGGCTACATATTGTGTGGGTCCACTTATATGAAACATCCAGAGTCAGCAGATCCACTGAAACAGACTGTGTAGACTAGTGGTTCCAGTGGCTGGGCGGGGAGGGGATGGAGAAGAGTTTGGGGAGTGACTGCTTCATGGGTATGAGATTTGTGTGTGTAGGTTGGTGGTGGGGGCAGGGTGGTGATGAAAATAATCTACAATTGCTGTGTATGACTGCACAACTGTGACTATACAGAAAGCACTCAATTGTACTTTAAAAGGATGAATCTTTTGGTATGTTCATTATATTTCAATAAATCTTATTTTTTAAAAATTCACTTAAAATCCCTCCATGATTTGTATTAAGCAGGGTAATTAGAGCTATTTGCCACAACAGCCAAACCTGTGAGCTGCTGATTCTCTTCACCCCCCAGAGGCATTCTGTTCTCTTCACTGAACGGCTTTGTGCCCCTGGAGGCTGGCCCCTGTGCACTGTGCCACCTGGGCTCCTTCCAGGCTGCCTTCTGATTGGGGTTGGCCAATGGGGAGCCCCTTTCAGGAGATGGAAGGGCAGGAGAAGAGGCAGGTCAGGGTATTTGTTTCCAGCTCGCTTCCTCCTGGTTCATAGCCTCTGACAGGGCCTGTGTGCTGCTGCTTTTTTTTTTTTTTTTTTTTTTTTGTTGAGGTGGAGTCTCACTCTGTCACCCAGGCTGGTGTGCAGTGGCTTGATCATGACTCACTGCAACCTCTGCCTCCCAGGTTCAAGTGATTCTCCTGCCTCAGCCTCCCGAGTAGCTGGGATTACAGGCACCCACCACCATGCCTGGCTAATTTTTGTATTTTTAGTAGAGACAGTTATTCACCATGTTAGCCAGGCTGGTCTCGAACTCTCGAACTCTTGACCTCAGATGATCTGCCCACCTCGGCCTCCCGAAGTGCTGGGATCACAGACATGAGCCACTGTGCCCGGCCTGTGCTTCTGACTAGAGCTCCTCTGGGTAGCTTCTCCTCTTTGGCTCCACTATTGGGGCTCTCATAACTCCACTTCCTCTCTATGCCCCTTCAGATCTAGAGGTCATAACAGCTTCCCACCTATCATGTTTCTTCCCTTACCCTGCCACAATTCTGAAAGGAGTTCTTTCATTAAAATCTATTTACTCGAACTATCTGGGGCAATTTGTCTCTTGAAAGAATTCCGATTGATACCCCCCAAATCTCAGTGACTTAATACTGGATTAATTCCTGAACATGCCAGTCTCATACAGGTCAGGTAGTCCTCTTTATTCTTAGAGCTCTGCCATCTGGAATACATGGCCTCCAACATGAGGCAGAGGAAGAGTGAGTTGGAAGATTGCTTGGGATGCTATTGGGAGCCAGGCCTAGAAGTGGCTTACATCACTTCCACCCTTGTTTCTTGGTCAGAACAAGTCACAAGGCCCCAAGCCAACTGCAAGGGAGACTGGGAGAGTGATGTGGGAGACATATGACATTGACTTTGGCAACGAAATTGCCTTCAGGCTTTAATAAACTCCTTAAAAAGGCATAAAAGACACATCGGCCTCTGGCCCCAGCCTACCTTGCCATCTTTATACCTGCCACTGCCCCACACTGTGCTTTTGCATAAGTTGTTTTTCTGCCTGATTTTCCATGTTCCTTCTCCTCCACTTGGATACTCAAGTATTTACTTCAAAATTAATCTCAGTAATTAACTCCTCCTGGAAACTTATCTTGACCAGCCCTTCCTAAGCTGGTTCTCTGTGCTACCACAGTCCCAGGAAGACGTCTCCATCATAACATTTCCATTTTTTTTTTCTTTTGAGGCAGAGTCTCAGTCTGTCACCCAGGCTGGGGTGCAATGGCACAATCATAGCTCATTGCACCCTCAAACTCCTGGGCTCAAGTAGTGCTCCCACCTTCAGCCTTGGGAGTAGCTGGGACTACAGGCTCACACCATCATGGCCAGCCTATTTTTGTGTCCTTTTTTGTTTTTGAGATGGGTGTCTCACTTTGTTGACCAGACTGGTCTCAAACTCCTGGCTTCAAATGATTCCCCTGCCTCAGCCTCCCATAGCGCTGGGATTACAAGCATGAGCTATGGTGCCTGGCCAACATTTACTATTTTGTGTTATAGTTTGACATTTCTTTGCCTCACCAATTAAATGTTTCTTGAAGACATGGACTATAGTTCATTTCTATCTTTACCACTACCTACCACCATAGTCACTATCTAAATAATTATTTTAGTCAGAGTCAGTACCATTGCCTAGAGAGCACTTTAGAAATGTGTAGAGATGGTTTTAGTTGTCATAATAACCAGGAAACACTACTTACATTTAGGGTAGGTGCCACAGATGATAAACATCCTGCATTAAATGGGACAATCACTCATCATGAAGAACTATCCCCCGTCCTACAAGACTTTCAAGTGTCCCACTGAATTTTCAAATAGATTAAAAGCCTGTTTATATCTTTCTGAAACTAGAATCTAATTCCATTTTACATATAAATGCTGTTTTGGTTGTCTATTGGTGTGTAATAAAGCATCCCAACAGATAAGGGTTTAAAACCACAGAAGTTTATTATCTGCTAAGACCCTGTGGGACGACTGGCTCATCTGGGCAGTTTTCCTGTTCCATGTGATATTTATTGGCACTACAGTCAGCGGGGGGCTTAACATAGCTCACTCACATGGCTGCCACTTGAGTTTGGAGCTGTCAGTTAGAGCACCTCAGGCCTCCATCAAATGGAGGGCTTGGGCTTCTCATTGCATGGTAGCTGGGTTCCAAGAGGTGGCAAGGAAAACAGCCAGTCCTCTTCAGGCTTGGGCTCAGGAGCCCCAAAACAGAACTTCAGCTGCTTTCTATTGGTCAAGGCCAGACTCAGGGCTGGTCCAGACTTAAGGCAAGGACAAGTAAACTCCACTCTTGATGTGAGAGGCAGCTTGCCAGTACAGGGAGGAGAGGAAGATTGAGGGCCAACTTCAGATACTTACTAGTTACCTCACTCAGACACTTAGTGATTTTATCCAGCTGCAAGAATTTTCCAGAAATATAACAAAGGTATAAACCAAGGGAAACGTAACCTTTGTTTGGTTTGGAATTTCATTTGTTGTATCTGAGTGATCGATATAACATACCTGTATCAGTCCATCTTTGTAGTTGTCACATTCATGGTGACTCAACATTTACATTCAAGTATCCGATTACTTCTTCATGTCTTCTAGTGAAATCTTGCCAAAGTGTTGTATATATATTTTTAACTTTAGTTTTCCTTTGTATTTTTTATTACTTATATAAACTGTATTTTTAAATTTCCCACCAGGGTAGTAAAGGAGTTATTGCGTATTTGTTATAAAGAGGAGGTGTACTGATAGGGTTGAAAAAAAAAACACTGATTACTAGTCTGGCATTCCTGTTTGGTTTCTATATTATCTTCTCCTTGATTTTAATTTTCTGCTTTGATTTATATTTTACTATCTCAAAATGTGTGCTTTGGGTCCAAATCAACTCAAATCTCTGAGCAATAGCACAGAGAATGTAAGTAAATGAATGAATAAGTAAATAGCTAGCTTTGCATTTTTTCCTAATTATGACAATGTGTAATTCTTGTAGAATATGTAATATTTATCTTTAAACCTGATTTTTCTCCCACTGAAATAGTTCTTTGTTATTTTCTTGTTTGAACCAGATTAATAAAATCTAGATATGTGTTACATTAACACTGTTTTGTTTTATTGGTGTACCTTAATGTAAATGACTTCCTGATTTATCTGCTACATAATCATATTTTTTAGTGAAACAAATTATATATGACTATTTTAGATTTCTGACATTGCAATGTGCTTTGCCTCATATTAAGATGTTCTCAAGAAAAATACCATTAGACCACCTTTTAGTGAAGCCAACGTATATACAAATATATTTATCACATAGTTTTCCTTAAAATATTAAGTTGAATAAATACTGTACTTAGAATATATTTACCACCTGAAACTAAATTTAGAGATGTATCTACTAATAATCTGTTTCTATGACTTCCTACTGCTTTTGTAAATATAATGTGTTACTCTGTATTCAAGGATTTGTTTTCTAATATTTATACTTTCATATCAAAATACATACATGGATCTTTGGTCATTAAATCATTAGCATTTTTCACAATATAACCTTTTAAAACAAGTAGGCAAATACAAAAGCCAAATAAATGCACTTAATGTTGGCTCTGAAAAATGTTACCCTCCTGTACTGGTAGACAGAGGCTACCCTCCTGCTTGGTAGACAGATGTTGACCTTTGTTTCTGGTAGGAAGATATCACATCTCTGGTCTAGTAGACCATGCCATTCTCTTGGTCTGACTGGCAAATGCTGCCCTCCTGGCTGGGTAAACATTTGCTGCTCTCTTTGTGTAGTATATAGGTTTTACTTTCCTGCTGGTAGAACAGTAGAGAGGCAAGGTCTCTAGCTAAAATAGTCTCATAAATCATCATTCAGCATCTACTCAGGACTGTTAGTCAACACTTGTGTAAGGTATGAATGGCCCCTGAGAAGTATATCATGGAAAGGATGTAGAGGCATAATTACTTAACTACTGTTGCTACAATAGTCTCGGGTAAACAGTATCTATTTTCCTTCTTAACCTATTTCAAGAAGGGCAAGAGAAATCCAGCTTCACATCAAGCTTTGTCTACATGCTTTATAAAAACTGAACACTGGTGTGGAAGCCCCCTGAATATTCCACCACAGAGAGAAATTCCCCGCCTAAGCCAGCCACTATGTCTACTTCAGTTTTGGTTTGAGGAACTTGGTTGGCCTCAATTCTAATTTGGAAAGAAAAAAGTTAATCTTACTCCTTGTAAGTGGAGATAGTGACTAATTTAACCCATAATATTTAAAACACAGGAAGCATACAGTTTTGAAGGCTATTATAAATTTTTTGACATACTCATCTCCTTTGAAAATCCCCTTTTTCTTCCCACACAAATAATAAAATCTTTCTTTAATAGGTTAAAAAGTTAACGTTATTTAATATTTGTACCAAGGAAAATATAATGAGAAAACCAGATAATGGTAAATTCTCTTTTTTTTTTTTTTTTTTTTTTTTAAACAGGGTCTCACTCTGCCGCCCAGGCTGGAGTGCAGTGGCACGATCTCAGCTCATTGCAACTTCCGCCTCCCAGGTTCAAGTGATTCTCCTGCCTCAACTTCCTGAGTAGCTGGGACTACAGACATGTGCCACCAGATGGTAAATTCTAGAAGTGAATCCACCCAATATTGTTTATAATATTGGTGCATTATGTACTTGAATTAATTGCAAATCTAACATTCTTTAATTTATCTTTATTTCAAAACAATATAAGGCCTCTAAAAATGAACATTGACCTATCATAAGGGTGTTTACAGAATGCAAGAGAAAAGTAATTCTTTTGACAAATGGAAGCATTGCCTCAAAGCGTGTGTGTGTGTGTGTGTGTGTGTGTGTGTGTGTGTGTATGTATACAATATCTTGTCCATTAATCCATTTTCTAGCCACCATTACAGAACTGAGGAGCACCCCTAAATTTCTTTCTTTATCCTGACATAAAATAATACAAAGGAAATCATCAATTTCCTGTTCTGTTCAAGAAAGGTACATCCTCCATTCAAGATTTAAAAATAGTAAACATATTAGTCGGTAGTATTATTACAATTCCAAAATTCAGAATATCAGGGTTATTTTGTATCTTTTTACTTATTAAAGTTATTGCTTTTTAATAATTGCACATATATAACTATTGAATAAACTATTATAAACTATGTAGATCCCACTGCAATGGTTTGATACTTTATGTAATTGGTTATAGAACAATACCTCTGTAGACTACCGCAGAAACAGTGTGTCCTATATGACATGGATATGTTACCATATGGGCTTATTGTGTAGCCTTATTAATAAATAAATAAAGTCAAATACTTCTGGGGCCATTGTACTTTTTAGTTTATTTGACCATGTCAATACAGGTAACATTTAGAAAGAAGTTCATAAAGGGAAATAATTGGATTGGAGAGAGAAAATGTGAGAGGACAGAGCATTAAAGTAATTAGAGGTTTAGCAGAATTTTACAGAATCAATGAGAACATTTCATTCTGGTTCTTACCATTCCATTCTGCACAGAAATCATCACTGTGGCATCTTGTGCTTTATGATTTTGATCAAATTATTTGTCAAAAAAACTCAGTAAACTGATCCATTGTTAATTTTCAAGAGAGTGAACTTGAAAGATAGTGATATTTAAACTTTGTTACTCACTATGAGCTCTGCAAAAATAAATACCTGCTTACAGATCTTTAGTAATGCAGTAGTGCATGTATGCCTAAATACATAGCTGCATAGCTGAGGAAGAATAAAAATAATTGGCTAAAGTAAATTTTCAGTTGATATTTGGCTTTATTACATGCCTTCAAATTTAGGATTTTCTAAGTTGTATGCTATCCTCTTTTTAAAAATTCAATTTCTTTAGCACATAAATTGATATTAATATCTCATATTTATACAGCATGCTATAGATTTAAACATAATTTCCAAAATGTAACTGTTAATAGAAAGTATTGGTTGGGTGTGGTGGCTCATGCCTGTAATCCTAGTGCTA